>NC_000011.10:37181212-37332727 GCF_000001405.40 Homo sapiens
GCACAGGTCTTTGAATAAATTTTGCTTCTAAGAGAAGTTATTATTTATTCTTAATTAGATGGAAAGGAAAGTTTTTGAAGAGGAACCTCTACTTTACTTTTTACAACTGGAAAGGGAAAAGGGTAAGGAAAGCACTATACATGCAGGAAGCTCACCCAAAGGGAAGAATCATGGGAAAGAGTCAAGTCTATAAAAGTCCTAGGATCCCAGTTAAATGGGGCACTCAACCTTCTCTCTTCAATCTTCGCGTGCCCACTTAGGTCCCTCTCAAGCAAATTTTCCTTTCTTTCCTGTTCTGAGGCCTTTTAAAATAAACTTCCATTCCTTCTCTGGAACTTGCCTTGATCTCTTTTTCTGCTTTATGCCCCTCAGTTGAATTCTTTCTACTGAGGAGGCAAGGACTGAAGTTGCTACAGACCCATACAGATAGGCCAACAGTGACTTAGGTAATTCAGGTCTCTTCCACTGGTAACAGTGTGCTAAGAACTGTGCCTTGAGGATGGGCAGCTCTTGTTGTCCAGGTTGGTATTGATAGAGGCAGCTTAGGTACCCCCCACTCCAGCAGAACCCTGCCTTCAAACCTGAAACAGCCTGAAGGCTGAAAAACCAGACTTCTGGTCCAGGATGAAGCTTGCCCTTTCCCAATTGATTCTTTCTGAATAATGCCCACCTGCCCACTGGTACAATGCCATGGTGCTTCAGGCAGTTTCCGCCATTTGCAGTGGTGAGGAGTCTGGCTTCTCCTGTTGCTTTGTGGTGACCTGGGATTCAATCTGTGAGGCGGGAAACCTGCTAGCAGGACTCTCTCTCTTGCTTTTCTAAGAGTTATTTTTCCTTTTCGCCCAATAAATTCCATTTTCCTCACCCTTCTACGTGTCTGTGAGCCTGATCTTTCCTGGTCGTGTGACAATAGCTGGGTTTTAGCTGAACTAAGGAGAAAATTCTGCAACAGTATCATGTGTTACACTTTTGGAATGTGAGAGGGGAAAGTCTCAGCCAAATCATATGGAGTGGATCTCCCACGGAGAAAAGGATACTGTTACCAGAGGAAGGGAGGGAGGAAGATAAGTTGGGAAGACAACAACAGTAGCTATGTGAGAACATTATTCATGTCCCCTTTGGTCAGGAAATCCGGTGCCCAGACAGTTGTAGTTTGACTTTGGAGTTCAAGCCTTCAGGAATAACATGGGAAGTGTAGCCATTTAAACATGAACATTGTTGGATGTTTCCATCTCTAATAACACAATCTATTGTTAAGGCAAAACTGAGTTTATTGATTATCTTGTTAAAAGAAAACATTATATCTAAAGCTTTGATAATGTTTCAGAGGAAAATGGATTAGAATGATTTTTAAATTATCTCAAATAGTAAACATTCATTTAAGATAATAAAATGTAATTTAACTAACTTACCTAACAGATATTAAAATGTAAATAAAATAAGATAAAGATAAAAAAATTAAAAGAAACTTTTAAGAATAAAACATCTTTAAAGCTTCAGTAAATAAATGTTTTCTATTATTATTTACTCAGCCATTTTAAACAAAGATTATTTTAATATTCAGGATCACATTAACATTTATGTTCTCTTTATTAGTGGAAAGAAATGTTCTGAACTCACTTAGATTTTCCTCCTTGTTTTGAGGAGGCCTCTCTGCTTGCTGCTCTTATCTTTCTGCAGCAGCTTCTCTCCTGGAGCTCTATTCCTTGGTATTATTGAATAAACTCTTCTTTTTCTTGTTTTTGATGTTTTTTTCTGACAATCCTCTGCCCTTTGGGGTTGAAGGTATGAGCCTATCTCTCCTCTTCTCTATTATTTATTTTTACTCCAACCACTAGCATATGATACACCTTGATTTAGGTGACCAGAATTATTTTAAAGGGTCCAAAAGCTTAGGATCGCAACTATTTTTGATTCTGCTTATGAATTTCTTTATAGATATGCTATATTTTGAAACTGAGAGTAGGAATATGTTGATGAGTAGATCACAAATGCTTTATACATGTAAATTGCACTGTAGGTTTTCAGATAATCTGGGTATGTAACTTACGTAATATACATAAACTTGTAATGTAAATAGAGGTAGCTTTGGTGCAAATAAATTGCTTCTAACAATGTTTTGACTGGCTTTTCTGTTACGGGAGCCATCTGTTGTTCTTGTGCCATATATATATATGTGTATATATATACATATGTGTATATATATATATGTGTGTGTTTGTGTGTATATATATATATATATATACATACATTTTTTTTTTCTCTGTCATGCATTTCTCAGGCTCCAGGTCCTCCTATTCAGGCACTAACGTGTTAGCGTCACCACATTGCCATGACAGCAACAGGTCAGAATTATCAAGAAATAGGGTGCTTCCTTCTGTGGGTAGGACAATTTGTCACTGACGTGAAATTTCAGTTGGAACAGATGCATTATATATATATGTCTTCCAGCCTGGGAAACAGAGTGAGAGCCTGTCTCAAAATTTTATATATATATATAATTTTCTCACTCTGTCTCCTAGGCTTGAATGTATTGGTGCAATCATAGCTGAATGCAGCTTCAAACTCCTGGGCTCAAGCAATCCTCTTGCCTCAGCCTCCCAAGTAGCTGGAACTACAGGTGTACTTCACCTTGCCCAGCCTGGAATAAAAAGTGCTGCTATCCCCACTCCCAGAGGGTTATCCATACTCAGAAGACAATACTTTCTCTTCACACTGAAGTAAACAACATGGCAACTTGTGACCCATAAGAGGGAAAAAAATCTGCAGTATGTAAATATCTCATCTAGAAGTCACAGAGGAACATGTGAGCAGTGTAGACTCCTCAAGTGTCATTTAGAGTGTACTTATTGCTCAAATGAAATGTCTTCTTCCCTGGGTAAAATGCACCAGAATTCACATGAGCTCCCCAGTCACACACACACACACACACACACACACACACGCACAGAGTGAGAGAGAGAAAAGAATGGAGAAAGAAAAACCTACCAGCCCAGCATAAAACTGCTTTTTGCAAGCAAAGCAATGACAAAATCAGATGTTAGGAGAGCACTTGTGAAGCAAACTTGCATCTTGACAAAGTTTAACAGGTGAGGAAGACTTTATTTAAACTATTGCAATAGGAAAGAGAGGTCAGAAACCAGCACATGAGCTCAACTGCTGAAACAAAATGCCAGAGAGCTTTTAAGAGCTGGAGAGATGGTGGGGAAACATAGGCCATCTGTGTTTGCTAATTGGCCTTCCCCATAGGAAAAAACTTGCTCTTATTTTCAAGGCAGGAAGTAGTTTTACAACGTGGAGCAAGACACTCACCTTCTCATGAAGACTGGGAGATAGGAGTGCTGTTTTCCTTGAAGATTGATGACATTTCAGAGAGGGTTCTCAGTTCCTTGAGAAAGGCATTTCCAGGGTTGTAAAACTGTCACAAGACTGGGGAAGGTTTGCATATACTTTAAAGGGGCAGAGAAAGAATTTACAATGACAAGTTTTCTTAAAGTAAATGGTTTAAGGCAAGGGACTTTATGGTCTTAGAGATAGGCAGATGCTTGTCTAAATTTTGTAAAGCTGAGGAAAAGGTTAATGACACATGTCATGGAGGGCACTTCCTATATCCATCTGGAAGCTTCTTCAAGAAGAAAGGATATCTGCCTTAACATCATTTTGGATATGACATGGCATAATTCACATATATATAAGGTAGGCTGATGTCTATGGAAGTTGAGTTGAATTTACTGGGATAGCTATTGCACCAACATTTTCCCCCCTTTGAGCCATTCATTCTTTTGGGTTAACTTTTACTTTTACCTTGTGATTCCTTTCTTATAAACATATTTGGACAAACATAGACATATTTGGATGTGTTTATGTATTTTTGTATTTATTTGAATAACTATAGAGATGTCATTGGTATCTTGGGGGATTGGTTCCAGAACACCCCTTGAACACTAAAATTTAGGGATGCTCAAGTCTCTTATATAAAATAGCACAGTAATTTGGATATAATCTATGAGCATTCTTCTCTATACATAGATCATCTCTAGATTACTCATAATACCTAATAAAATGTAAATGCTATGTAAATAGTTGTCATACTGTATTGTTTAGGGAATAACGACAAGACAAAAGTCTATACAGGTTCAGTACAGATGCAACCATTCTTTTTTAGAAAATTATTTTGGGCTGGGCACAGTGGCTCATGCCTATAATCCCAGCACTTTGGGAGGCTGAGGTGCATGGATCACCTGAGGTCAGGAGTTCCAGACCAGCCTGGCTAACATGGCGAAACCCCGTCTCTACTGAAAATACAAAAATTAGCCAGGCGTGGTTGTGAGTGCCTGTAATCCCAGCTACTCGGGAGGCTGAGGCGGGTGAATCACTTGAACCCAGGAGGCAGAGGTTGCAGTGAGTGGGGATCGTGCCACTGCACTCCAGCCTGGGTGACAAGAGTGAAACTCTATCTCAAAAAAAAAAAAAAAAATTGGATCCACATTTGTTTGAATTCACAGATGTAGAACACAAGGATACAGAAAGCCAGTAGTATGTTAATATATACATATATATATATTACATATTTGAAGAGATATTTAAATCAAAATGGCCTTCTAGACTTCAGCACCTAGAGCATAAAGAAGGTTAAAGTGGCACAGGGGAAAGGGGGAATAGTAATTGTTATATTTTTATTTTGAATCATGCAAAGCATTAAGCCCTCTACTGTTATGTATTTAATCCACACAATAACGCTACAAAGAAAGTATGATGGTCCTCTTCAAAAATATAAGTGAACCCAGGAACTTGACATCACTTAACAAGAGCACACAGCTAGTCAGTGGTGCAGCTGAAATTCTAAAACAAGATGGTGAACAGTCAGATTCCTCCATTTTAAACAAATGTTTGATTGCTAACAGCTTGAGGCACCACTTTTTCTACCTTTCTCTTTTGTCTCACATCTAAATAAGTCCATAGAAAAGTGGAATCAAATCCTACAAACCTCTGCCCATAAGAACCCTCACCTTCCTCATCCCGGTCCCATTCCCTAACCACAGTAAAGACCAGGGATACTTGTCTCTTTCTTTCCTCAAGCTGCCCCTCACCAGCTTGGGTGCCTACCCTGCTCTATTAAAAAATCCCACCATGTGTTTAATTTATATCCTCTAGGTGATATATGATGCTATTATCTTGATGTTGGTGGGGGGTTGATCCTTCCCTCTGTAGGCAGGACAACTAAAAAACAAAGGCAATGCAAAGTAATAAGGGAAGGCAGGGCCTCTCTAAACACACATCACCACTTCGAGATACTTCAGTAGCCAAAACTCTCTATGTGCCATTAGCCATGTGAGTCTTTCCATGCCATAAACAGAACCCAGGCAGAAAAAGTAGGGGGAGAAAAGCTCATTCGAAAGAGACACTTAAACACAATTTGCACTGCTCATATGTTCGAATTTTCCATGTGCTTTTGGTTTTACAATTAGAAACTGCAGTCATATGGATAATGTGAATCAAAGTAAACTTTATTACAATAAAGGACTATGATTTGAAGCCTGTTTCCTCCTTCTCTGTTCTAATGTTATGAATATAATGGATTCTAGGAAAATAGAGGGGCTACCGCTGACTAGAAAACAAATGCCATGTTGCCAATAGTAAAGGCAGAACATCTCATGCATCTCCTGAAAGATTTTTTCCAAGAATTATCCCTGAGGGTAGTGAACATCTGTTTCATTTAGCTTTCTTTTTCCAATTTTCTTATAACAGAAGTGATTTTCCTCTGAGGAAGCTATTCCATAAGTTTCAACAGAGCTAAGTTCTTTAACTTCACAAAATTTGTCCCAGACAGAGAGATGGTCATGAAGCCTGGGCTTGGACTATGAAAATACTTTATCCTCCTGAACCTAACAGTAGGTTTAGAGATGGGCACATGGCTCAATTCAGGCCACCGAATCTCCCATCCAGGAATCTTCTGCCAGAGCCTTTAAAATGATGGCATCTTTCATTGTGGTTGCTAGGTGGCTAGGGTGTGTCTACAGGGCTGTCACAGGTGATTGCTTTTATTCCCTGAAGGTAAATTCACTGAGACACAGAAAAAGACACATGGCTCTAAAATATAATGCTTGAATCCAGTTATCTTTGGAAGTTTCAGTTACATAAGACAATGAATTCTTTTTTTCTTCCTAAACTAGTCTGGATTGAATTGAGTTTCTATTACTTTTGATCAAAAGTTTAAATTTGGGCTGAGCACAGTGGCTCATGCCCATTATCCCTGTATTTTGGAAGGCCAAAGAGGGAGAATTGTTTGAGCCCAGGAGTTTGAGGCTAGTCTGAGCAACACAGTGAGACCCCCGTCTCTACCAAAAATTAAAAATTAGTGTGGTGTTGGGGTGCATGCCTGTAGTCCCAGCTACTCAGGAGACTGAATCAGGAGGATATCTTCAGTCCAGGAAGTTGAGGCTGCAGTGAGCCATGATCATGCCACTGCATTCTAGCCTCTACGAGAGTGAGATCCTGTCTGATAAACAAACAAATGAAAACATTCTTATCTGTATATGTGCTCATACACTGTGGCAAAAGAAGCTCTAGGTAACGTGACTGCATAATTCATAGTCCAAGTCAGAACATTTATGCAAGTTAAAACAGATACTATTCAAATTTACACAGCGCAACAGTTAAATGGAACTGTCGCAGCCCAAGTAGAACATATGGTAACCTCAGTAATTGGGGTTGTACTATACCATACTGTATACTTTCTAAACCTCTCAGTAGCTTCTTCCATGTCCATGGTTGTTTTAACATATACTTTCTGTGTAAGAAAACAGCTTGTAAAAATAACAGCCACTGAAAATTGTGTCTAGGCCTTAGCCCTCTACCTTGTATTATCTATCTATCTATCTATCTATCTATCTATCTATCTATCTATCTATCTATCTATCTAGGCTTCTATAATAGCCTTCTATTTAGCTAGCTAGCTAGCTAGCTAGCTATCATCTATCTATGTAATCTATCATCTCCTTTAAGTGAGTTATAAGTTGGAGGAGAGACTCATTTACAGATAAATTACCTAGAGTAATAAACAAATATCATCTGTCGAGATAGGGGATCGAGAGTGAAGAAGAGACAAGTAAGCAGCAGAAGGTGGTATATATGTGATCATGGTGGCATGCATTTGCTTTGGCCTGACCAACAATACTTCCTTGTTTCTTTCTCATCACAAAATGTTTCTTTGCTTCGTATATAGCAATGTACTTAGCCACACAGGATAAATATAATATTCTAAGGCAATCATAATAACTTAATTCCCCTTTGTTAGTGAATAATCTTTGGAAAGCTTTTCACCCACTTATGCCCACCGGGATGTAAGAAGTCTATTGATAACTCCTAGCAAAGCTTTTCTTTCCTGAGAGAGGTACAAGAAGATGTATTGTTTTTGCCTCTGCATCCCTTTCCAAATGAAATTTCTGCTTTGGGCTATTGCATTAAGACATAATGACTGAAACTGTGACCGCAATTTGGTGTCATCCATGAGGCAATAAGACTGAGTACAGGAATCAGCATACTGTGGATGGTGGTGTGGAAGCATGGAAAGTTTGGCTCCTTAATGGCATTGCTAAGTTGTAGGACCATCCCTGAGATTCTTACATTCAGATTTCTTGTTAAATGAGCCAATTGAGTTTTATGAGTTAAGCCATCATCAGGGAGGCAGTCTGTTACTTTCACCTGAATGCATCCTAATCAATACAGGAGGCACAAATTCAACATCAGGCTGTCAATGTCCCATGTTATGGTCATGTGCCACTCAGGGGAAAATTCTACAGACAATTTTCACATAAAGTCCTATAGCAACAAAAAAATGCTACCTCTGTGTTTTTCAAGAAAGCTAGAGCTGTCTAGACGGGACTCCTACTGCCCAACTAAGAAAATCTCTCTCTCTCCTCCTTCCTCTCTCTCTCTCCCTCCCTTTCCCTCTTCATCTCCCTTTTACCCTGTTCTTCTCCTTCTCCCTCTCTCTTTTCTGTCTGCTATAACAAATCATTCCTTAAGGGTAGGTATGAAAAAAGTCTATAAAAGTTTATGAGAAAGCCACTAATACTCACCTTTTGTGATTTTAGAATCATTTCTGAATCAAACAGAGTAACAAATACCACTACAACAAAGGAGACTAATTAACTGATTGACTGTTCTAAAAGCCTGTATAAGCCCTATATAACCTAGGGTCTTTCCCTGTCTCAGTGCTTGAGAGATAGCAATATTACCTTAGTATATTGAACTTTCCACATGACTGCCTCCAAGCTTTTATTTCCAAGTATCCATTTTCACTACCATTGGATGGTGATGGAATAAACATTGGTATAGTTATTAGGAGGCTTGGGCTCTAGTCACAGCTTTGCTCCTGATAACCCATACTACTCAAGACAGTTTATTGAAGCCCTTGGGAGACTTCAGTTTTACAGTTTGTAAAATGTGAAGTTCAAATGAGATAATTTAGATTTCTAATATTTTATATTCATAATTCAAAGAGACATCATCTCAGAAAAATGGGTTTCACAGCCCAGCACTGTTGTGTTGAAAAGTGTGGTAGGCTGAGTAATGGCCCCCAAAGATATCCAAGACCTAATCTCCAGGACCTGTGAATGTCATCTTATAGAGCAGTATGGACATTGCATATGTGATTAATTTAAGAATCTTCAAATGAGGAGATTATCCTGAATTATCTGGGTGGGTGCTAAATGTAATTACAAGGATCCTTATGAGAAAGAGGCAGATTTGACCACAGAAGAGGAGAAGAACATGTGTCCACGCTGCTGGCTTTGAAGATGGAAGAAGGGGCATGAGTTAAGGAATGCAAAAAAAATGCAGCTCTAGAAGCTCAAAAAGGTAAGGAAAGGGATTCTCTTCTGAAACCTCTAGAAAAAACACAGTCCTGCCAACACCTTGATTTTTGATATCCAGCCAGAACTATAAGAGAATAAATTTGTATTATTTTAAGCCATTAAGTTTGTGATAATTTGTTATAGCATGTATTAGCGTTTTCTAGAGGAACAGAGCTAATAGGATGTATGTACATATGAAAGAGAGTTTATTAAGGAGAATTGGCTCACACGATTACAAGAAGTCCCAAGATAGGCCTTCTGCAAGCTGGGGAAAGAGAGAAGCCAGTAGTGTGTCTCAGTCCAAGTCCAAAAGCCTCAAAACCAGGGAAGCCAACAGTGAAGCCCCCAGTCTGAGGCCGAAGACCTGAGGTCCCCCGGGAGACTGCTGGTGCAAGTTCCACAGTCCAAAGACCGAGGAACCTGGAGTCTGATGTCCAAGGGCAGGAGTAGAAGAAGGAAAGCATTCCGCTAGGGAAGAGAGAGAGAGAGAGAGAGAGAGAGAGAGAGAGAGAGAGAGAGAGAGAGAGAGACAGCGCGCAAGTGGACTTAACAAGCTACTTTTACTTTCTTCTGCGTGCTTTGTACTAGCTGTGCGAGCAGCTGATTGGAAGGTGCCACAGTGAGGGTGGGTCTTTCTCTCCTAGTCTACAGGCTTAAATGTCAATCTCTTCTGGCAATACCCTCACAGACACTGCAAGAAACAATACCTTACTAGCCACCTGGGTATCCTTCAATGCAGTCAAGTGAACACCTGTTATTAATCATCACACAGGACTATAGGTAAATAATTCAAGAATAGTAAAGTCTTATTGACCTTAGCAGGGATGTGGACCACGAAAGACTTGAGATTGTCGATTCTGAATAGAAATGAATGGTGGTAATTGCTTTACTGTCTGTCTGTAGTTCCTGGCTTAGAAGATGATAAATCTGAATATGTAGAAATAGCTTTGTGATAAACTGGCCTTTTCTGATTTTATCTTTGTATTACACTCTTATGTGGAGCCTTTAATATGTGCCTATAAGTTGCTTTTCTGTTCTAAACAAGCTTTCCTTATAAGTTATAGTTGCAGATAATGGCAGGCTTGGTGTGGCTATATGAATGAATCAATCACCTTTAACATTTACCTCTTAGTGTTTATTATGCTGGCTTCTAACCTATGGCGTGTATCAGAATAAAAAGTTTGTAAGAGCACATGCCAGGATTTCAACCTTGTGTACCTAGTCAGATTCTTCTTAACATGTTTCTTTTTAAATTCCTCCACAGAAATTATAAAATACACAAAAACCTTGGGAAAAAATCACATAATGAGTCACTGCCATTGACTGATGTAATTTGAAATACTCTTAAAATATTGCTTCTTGTGTAACACATTGACACACTTGTGTCTCTCTGTTATGGTATTCATGTTCCTGTGATGTAAATATAGGTAAAGTCATCTCCAAAAGGCTCAGAAATCTTCGTTCAAAGAGCATTAAATAATGTTAAATATGAGATTTATTTATAAAATGCTGACTGTTTTAGGAAATTGCTAGTCTGTCTTAGGCTGGATGGCATCTCGTCAAATTTGATGTTATCTGTTTGCTGACTTGGAGAGACAAAATATTCCTGTTCTGTCCCAATTTGCAGAAACACTAAATTAAACCGTATAAAATTACGGTTTTCATAGGTCAAGAACTTTCTTAAAGTTGGCCTTTTCGTATGGTTTAACCTATTAAATGAATTCATTAGCAAAGAAACTCAAGGAAACTGAATTGGGCCAATAACTTCAAAGAATTGAAATATAATAAATAGGTAAATAATAGTACAGCCACTATGTTATTGAGATTAATCAAGCTAAAAAATAACTTTTTAAGTCAAAACGATGTATACTATTGTCTTTGCTAAGTTTTTTCAATCTTCCTCAGTCCTGGATTTGTTTCATTCCTTACAAGGAATTTGTACATGTTTGTTGAGTGGATGAATGTAACTACTTTATATGAATGAATAACAGTTACAAATCATGAATTACCTATTAGTGGGTAGTTTGAATACTGCATTATATGTGTACCAGAAATAAGTTTATTGTATATCATATTAGGATTGGGCTGGGTGTAGCTGTAGCATAATAGAAATATTACTGGAACTAGAATAAGTTGCTCTGCATTTGAAGATCTGCTAAATGCCTTAATTTCCTCATCTGAAAAATGGCAAAGTAATAATATTTACCACCTAGAATTGCTGTGATACCCAAATAATATATGAGTAAAGGTGTTTGTAAATTACAAAATATTATAAGGTATCATGGTATTTAGAAAGCAAAGACCCTCTGAGGACTCACTATCTGTGCCTGAACAGACTAAAGTTACTTCTAGGATATAAACTGGGTACCAACTAGGATATTATAACTAGGTACTAACTGGGCACATTTTGTTCTTGTTGTTGTTTGACAAACAACTCGTCTCTGCACTGAGAAAGGTTTTGTCTTTCCTAATTATAAACAGCTAACCAATATCAGTGATTTGTAGGAAAAAAACAAGTCTGTTAATAAACTAAATAGTAAAGTAAGAATGACTAGCCCAACAAGGGCATTTCAAAAATAATAGCTGCTTTCTAATTTTAAGGATGATTTAAAGTCTTCACTCCTCACCCTCACCCAGACTTCCTTGTTTCTGAGTATAGAATTTGTTTCATTCAAGCATGTCCATAAGGTTTTTTTTTTTTCTAAATAAGCTAATGAATCAGATGATGTCAGGACATAAAGCACTCACTGATGTTATTATGGCTTCTACATCAAAGATATCACAAAATGACATTTTCACTGCACAATTACTATTGTTGCTTTATTTTATTTAAGTTACATTTTTAAAAGCATTTTATTGCAATTGAAAATTACTTCATGAGTGTAATTTGTGTTATAGGAATTCATATTTTACATTATTACTTCTGCATTATTTTATTCACTAGCATTTTCCTTTAACATAGAAACAGGTATATACATAGATATTTCCAATATATATGGTCATTGCCTGGAAACAGAACAGCCTAGAGAACTATGTGAATGATTTGAGAGTGCAAGGATCTTCAGAGGGAACGTGAGACTTCTTGGAAACAGGGCATTAAACCTCAGCTTGAATAATGAGTAGAAGTTACTCATGGAAGAAGGAAGAGAATGTGTCTGTGAGTACTGAGATGGTAGATGGGAGGGTGACCAAAAGAAGTACGAGGAGGAGGAAATGGCATGGACAAAGGCACAATGGCATGAAACACCACTGGGTGTAAAATTAGAATTATAATCAATCTAGAAGCACTAGAGTACAAAATATTAAGGGGAGAAAAGTAGGAATGAAAGAAAACAGCTCTTATTTCTGTGCTTTCTTCCAGGTGGAGGAATATCCATTAGTGTAACACACTTGTCCTCTTGCCATCAACTTATATCTCTCCTACGGTGGGTGGGGTTGATGTACCTGGGTTTGGAAGGTGCAACTAGAACTGTATATTCCTACCCTTTTTATCTTCTCTCCGTTGGGAGCCAGCTTACCTGCACGGTATAGTTGTTCCCATTTGGTTTTCTCCATGTCTTACATTTACAGAAACAGGTTTTGCCCCTAAGTCAAAGATGAGGTTGGGTGATGGGGAAGTTAAATGCTGTTTTGAAGGGAGTAATTTAATTTAGGATTGTTAGAATGTATATTGGGGCACAAACCTTGAGAAATAATTGGGAAGAAGAATTCTGTGGGGGAAATGGTTGTCAAATGGTTCTAAGTGGGGAACATCTCCCCCAGATTTAGGCCTTAGACTTCATTTGTTGTTTGTTGATTTGGGGCCTTGGAAGTTTATGCTAGCCCATAAGACTTGTTTTTATAGTTATGTGGTTGGCTGTTACTTCTTGCAAACTGGGAAAGGAACTTTGATTTTTGCCCTGAGTTATTTTGACCTCACTGCAACTTAATGGAAGCTTTGTCCACAGGCAAATAGCTCTTTCTGTAGAAGCAGTACTACATGTGCCCAGTGAGAATTAGGCAAATGGAAGGCACACTTCAGCAATGTTGAGAAGTAACTCATGTCTTAGTGAAGGTATGAGACACCTTGGGCCTCAGGAAATATTTAGGGCCACTCAAGGCTCAGCAAACACATAAGCCTTTGAAACATTAAGCAGATGCTGGACATTTAACTCAGCAAAATGAAACCCTCTGAACAAAAATCTGCATTGTCCATGAGGATACCTATAGGATCAGTGGTTGCTGTTGTGAGAAGCAGCCTCATGAAGGGGCAGACGAGTCTGTCTTAATCCATTTATGTTGCCATAAAGCAATTCCTGAAACTGAGTAATTTATAAAGATGGTAATTTATAAAGACTGGCTGGAAGGTTGAGCATCTGTTGAAAGTCTCAGGCTGCTTCCACTTCTGGTGGAAGGCAAAGAGGAGCCAGCATGTGCAGAGATCACACCGTAAGTGGAAAGAAAAGAAAGAGGGGAAAGATACCAAGCTCTTTTTTTTTTTTTTTAAATAACCAGTTCTCACAGGATCTAATAGAGTAGGACTCACTTACCACCCCACTACAGGGAGGGCATTAATCTATTCATGAGGGATCTGCCCCCATGGCCTAAACACCTCACGTTAGAGCCCTATCTCCAACATTGTGATCAGATTTCAATATGTAGTTTGGAGGAACAATGCCTAATATAGCATTTTGCCCCTGGTCCCTCAAAACTCATATTCCTCTCATATTGTAGAATACAATCATCCCTTCCCAATAGTCTCCCGAAGTATTATTAGCTTATTCCAGTATCAGCTCAGAAGTCCAAAGTCCAAAGTCTCATCTGAGACTCAAGGCAAATTCCTTCTACCTATGAGCCTGTAAAATCAAATAAGTTATTTACTCCCAAGATAGAATGGTGGTAAACGTAATTGGTAAACATTCCTATTGCAAAAGGGAGGAATGGAAGAAATAGGTTAAAAGACAGAAGTAAAAGGCCCCATAAAAGTCCAAAATCCATCAGGGCAGACATTAAGTCTTTAAGCTCCAGAATAATCTCCTTTGGCTCAGTGTCCCAGATCCTGGGTACACTAGTGCTAGGGGTAGGCTCCCAAAGCCTGAGGCAGCCCTGGCCCCATGGCTTTGCAAGGCACAGCAGAAGTGGTTGCTTTCACAGGTTTGGGTCTGGTGCCTGTGGCTTTTATGGGCTGAAGTTGCATGCTGCTGGTGGCTCCATAATTCTAGGGTATCTGCAACATTCCTCTTCCCACAGCTCCACTGTCCACCGCTGTGGCTCTACCCCTGAGGCAGGTCTACACTCCCAAGCTTTCTGATACAGCCTCTGAAGTCCACGTGGAAGTCACCAGGCCTCTACCTGTCTTGTATTCTGGACACATTCAGACTTAGCATTACATGGATGCCACTAACGCTTACTGCATGTGCTCTCTGGAGCAGTGGCCCAAGCAGTATTTGGGCCCCATTAGCTGTAGCTGGAACTGAAGCAGCTGGGATGTGGTGAGCAGCATGCTGAGACAGTGCAGGGCAACAGCACTGCAGGCCCTTCTGTCCTCTTAGTCCTCCGGGCCTGTGATGGGAATTTTTGCCTCAAAGATTTCTGAAATGTCTTCAGGGTCTTTTTCCCATTGTCTTGACTATTAGCACCTGGCTCCCTTTTAGTCAAGCTAATCTCTGTATGAAGTGGTTGCTGTAGAGCACCCTTGGATCTGTCTCTTGCAAATGCTCTTTTCTTCTCTGCTACATGGCCAGGTTATGAATTTCTCAAATTTTCACACTGTGATTCCCTCTTAATTGTAAATTCCACATTTAGAATATCCCTTTGCTGTCATATCTGTTTATAAGCTGTAAGAAAAGTAGCTGCATTACTTATTTAGGGCCTTGCTGCTTAGAAATTTCTACTACCAAATACCCTGGGTCATCACACTTATGTTTGGTCTTCCATAAAGCCCTAGGGCATGGGACAATGCAGCTAAATTCTTTGCTACTGTATAATAAGGCTAAGCTTTTCTCTGGTTTCCAGTAAATTCCTCATTTCTATCTGAGACCTCCTCAGCATGGCCTTTGCTGTCTATATTTCTATCAGCATCTTGGTTATAATTACTTAACCAATATGTAAGAAGTTCCAAATTTTTCTTCTTTTTTGCCTTCTTGTCAGCCATACAAACACTTAAAATATCTGCCCACTACCCAGTTTCAAAGCCATTTCCACATTTTCAGGTATCTTTATAGCAACACCCCACTCCTCAGTACCAATTTTCTGTCATAGTCCATTTGTGTTGCTTTATAGGAATACCTGAGGCTGAGTAACTTATAAATAAGAAAGGTTTATTTGACTCACAATTCTGTTGGCTAGAAGATCAGGCATCTGGTGGGAGCTTCAGGCTGCTTCCTCTCACAACATAAGGTGAAGGGGAGCTGGCATGTGCAGAGGCAACAGAGGGAGCAAAAAGGAAGTGGGGCATGTGCCAGCCTCTTTTTACCAATCAGCTCTCATGGGAACTAAAAGAGCAAGAACCCCCTCACTGCCTCCACAAAGGGTGGGTATTAATCTATTCATGAGAGATTTGCTCCCTAACTCAAACATCTCCTATTATAGCCTGCCTCCAACACTGGGATCAAATTTCAACATAAAGTTTGGGAGGGCAAACAACTAAACTATAGCAAAGTCTATCTTAATAGGATACTTGATCTTCTCTATAGAGAAGATGTATCATGTCCTAGATAGGCTAAATGATTGAGTCCAATTAGTTAAGCAGGTAAAATGTGGAAAGTTACATTTCTTTCATTTATTGTATTCCTGAGGAGTTGGAATGGGTTATGTAATTGGTTTATTTGGAAAGAGATAATAGCCAAATGTGTAATTCCCTCTCTTTTGTTGGGAGCAGTCATGTATTCCACTTTGTGGTGAAGATGGTGTAGTACTATGGGATAGTTCTTTTTTCCTTTTTCTTTCTTTTCTTTTTTTTTTTTTTTTTAATATGGCGTTTCACTCTTGTTGCCCAGGCTGGAGTGCAGTGGTGCAATCTCGGCTCACTGCAAACTCTGCCTCCTGGGTTCGAGTGATTCTCCTGCCTCAGCCTCCCGAGTAGCTGGGATTACAGGTATGTGCCACCATGCCTGGCTAATTTTTTATTTTTAGTAGAGACGGGGTTTCTCCATGTTGGTCAGGCTGGTCTCGAACTCCCAACCTCAGGTGATCCGCCTGCCTTGGCCTCCCGAAGTGCTGGGATTACAGGAGTGAGGCACCACGTCTGGTCAGGGATAGTTCTTTACTGATTCAGGGTTGCCAGTAAGTCTGACTAATTCTGGGATTTTCTATAAGAAATTCTTCTTCTCTATAAATAAAAAACATATGCTCCAGCCTAATATTTACCAATAATAAGATGTTTTTCTCCACAAATAGCGATTCCTTTGTATTAAACATAACTTGATTCAGAATTTGGACTGATAAGAAGTATGTTATTTATGGAATCCTCTCTACTATCCCACAAAAGTAGATAAAACCAGGTCATGGAGGTCTTCCCTGTACCTTGCTCATTAAATGCCTCTTTTCTGATTTGAGGAACTTTAATGACAGCTGTCTACATATAAGAATCCAGAGATTCTTGATAATATGTCCTCAAAAGATTTTCTATTCTTTCCAGAGCACTTGACTGTGCAACTGGTTGACAAGTAAACACATCACTTTATCTTTCTGTCTAAACTTATCAGAGATGCTAATATCCCTCTAAAGAAGGCAAAAGCTTTGCTCAACTGTCACTTTGTAAAAGGTGTTGATTACTTGAGCAATTCACACAGGGCACAATGCCAAACACATAAAAAAAGTGTTCAATAAATTATAGTAGTTCTGGTAGTTGTACTTATTTCAATGACTGAGTCTCTTTCTCTTAAACCTAGATTTTGTCACCTAAAATAAATTTTCATCATTCTTACCCAGTTCATGTCTGTTGGACCACAGTTTGGGTGCAATGATAAACATTTTGTAGTATTATTAAAAGTACCATAGCCTTCTAAAACCTGATTCTAAAATTAGAATTCAGTATAATCTTACTAAAAAATTCAATAAGTATCTAATTTTAGATTCCAGTGATAACAGCTAACACATTTATCAATATTTCTGATTTTATATATGGGCTTATGTATCTCTTTTTGAGTTAGATGTTAAATGCAGAACTCCAAGTTAAAAATCTTTATGTACACTTGACTTTTCATTATATTTTTCATTCTAAAATATCCTTTATAAAAGATGGCTCATTAAACATTGCTTGAATAAATAGAATAATCACATATATATGTAAGATAACAGGCGAATTCCATTAGCACCTTTGTACCTATCATCCCATTTAGGAAATGAAACTTTACCATTCACTTTATACCATTAATAAATCCCCAAATCTTCTATTTATGTTTTATTGCCTTTTGTTATAATTTTATTACATGTGTGTCCTTAAATATACAAAAAAATTTAGTTTTTATCCTCTTATTAGGAAAATCAGTTCTGTCAAAAATTTTTATTCATGTTATTGAGAGGTGGGAAAGGGGGAGGTTGACCATTGACCAAAAGTATGCCATTGGTCAATTTTTCTTTCCCTGTGCCAACATCACAGTTTTAGTTATTACAGCTTTGGAATTTTTATATGAATTCTTGGTATTTTAGTATTTGTTTGTTTTTTTCCTCTGCATCCTGATAGAATATCTCAATTTTATCTTCTATTCCACTGAATCTATTTTCTAAAGATCAATTCTGCTTTATTTAGCATCCAATGCATTCTTTAATTCTGCTATTGACATTTTCATATTCTTAAAATTTTTAAAAATCTGACCTTGTCACCTGACCTCACCATAGGAACAAAAATCTATACTAAGAAAAATAAAGAGTGGTTTTAACACAAAGAAAATAAAAACATCATTCCTTCCAAATAAATAAACAAGTAGTAGTGTTCTATTTAGGAAGCTTTGCCAAACATATGCTAATATTATGTTTTGCTTGCACTAGTAAATTCTTATTTAGGGAGCCTGTACTCCTAATGATAAGTGTTTTGGGTGATATATCAATTAAGCTGTGAAACAAACCACCTTAAAACTTAAGGGCTTAAAATAGGACCATTTATTAAGTTGCTCTCCTGCAGGTCAGAAATCAGAGGTGGGCTCACTGTGGTGATTGTCATCCTTAACTGAGCTCATTCTTGACATTGCTATCAGTGTCGGGTCAGCTAGGGGTGGCTGGTCTAGGACACACTTACCCAGGACAGCTCATCTCTGCTCCACAGGGTCTCTCTCATTAACCTCAGGTTAGACTAGGCTTGTTTACATGGCAGATGAGCAAGTTTCCAGGAGAAAGAAGTGTGCAAGGACTCTTGAGCTGTAGGCTTGGAACTGGCATAACATTGCCTCTGCCTCCACCACATCTCACTAATCAGCAAATCAGGAGTTCAGCATAGGTTAAAGGGGAGGGGAAGGAGACTCCATTTTTTCATGGCAGGAATACAAACTCACATAGCAAAGAACATGGATACAGACAGAAATCAAGGATTGTGGTCACTTTTTATTTTATTTATTTATTTATTTATTTATTTTTGCATTGTGTCACAGGCTATGTTCTGTTTCTTAAGTAGCAATGTACATTTTGAATAGGTTCTATGCTGTTGTGTATTTCTCTATGTTTATTTTCAAACTAGGTAACATATAGGGAGGGTTGCTGGGCATACAAAAAGATATTTAAAATTGCTCTTCTTTCTGTTCCCAGCCTAACTGCTTAACACACTAACTGCTCAACTATCAAAGCTAAAGCTAAATTTTTTCACAATATTATTTCCTTGAGAAGCCTAGTGCTCTTGTGTTGTAATTTTTTTACGCTTTCACTAATATTTTGCTAAAAAGTTAAGAAAGCCTGCATCAGGGGTAACTAGACATTTTAAACTGGAGGACTAAGCTTGATGTTAAGATTGTTATTTCTTATTCCAGGTCAGAAAGTTGTAGGTGATGTTCACTTGTTCTCAAAATAACTATTATAACACCATGTTTTGACTACTCTTTACTGGAACTTAATTTTCTCACAAGTTACCTTACATGCAAAATAAAGATTTTTTGAGTTCAATTTATAACAAGATAATTCATCTTTTTCCCATGCTCCTTGCTACCTGCACTGAGACCTGCTATTGTTTCTGAGCTAGCACTGTTTGAATTGGTTCTTGTTTACCCTTCTGAACCTACATCAATCAGGCTGTCAGTGTAGACATCTACATTTACATTACTAATGACAATCCTGCTGGGTGTCATTTCAGTTGCTGCTA
Source organism: Homo sapiens (assembly GCF_000001405.40). Classification (NCBI taxonomy): domain Eukaryota; kingdom Metazoa; phylum Chordata; class Mammalia; order Primates; family Hominidae; genus Homo; species Homo sapiens. Next base: position 37,200,338 of record NC_000011.10, read on the forward strand.
TGACTAGAGATCTCACTTATACACTGGTGACCTTCCAAAGTCAACTTCTGTTCATTTTATCTGTGGGTCCTTCAAGCTCAAACTGCAAAATTCCTCTGAGTTTACAGAAATGTTTTCAAGACCTTTGTCCGTTCCAGTCTTGGTTCTCTGATTTTTAATGTTTTTTTTTTTTTTTTTTTTTGCTTTCATTGCCTCAGCTGCTCATTTGCTATCTTATTGACTTAGCAATTTTTGCTTTGCTATTTTAGCATCCTTGTGGTCTCACCTTTTTTACCATGGTAGCTATGGAAGTCCATGCTGTGTGTTTCAACTACTCTGCTGTTTTTCCCAAGAGGGTGCTTGCGTTCACAATCTGTCACCAAATTATTTTGATGGAACTGATTAATTATTCAAGGTAAATTTCCATTCCTTTTAGTAAAATAAATAAATTTTGCTTATTTTTTAAAGTTAATTAAATTAACTCATTTGACTGGGTTGATTGAACATTCTGGTTTGGGTTTAGAATTGAAAAGTCTTGGATTTGCCTTTTAATCAATAATCATCAGAAAGTCTAGGTTGCAACTGTTATGAGAAGCTAGTTGGGTTTTCTTAACCGTTTAGCAATTGATTGCTTTCTCTAATTAGCATTTCTAGGAGAAGAAATGTATATATTTTTTCTGCCATTCTTTGTTCTTAGCTGGGATGCCCTGCAGCAAAAGTTAGATTAACAAGAGAAAAACTGAAGTTTATTAACTTGTTACCTCACGTATGCCCAGAAGATACTCAGGGAAAAATAAGTAAATCTCTGAGAGGTGGCTTAGAATCGAGGCTTAAATACCATCTTCCACTAAAGACAAAAGAGGGAGGGGATTGGAGAGGACAGTTATGGGAAGCTGACCAGGAAAAGTCCAGCAAACAAGAGTAAGGTTTGTTATGCAGATTTCAATCTTTGCTTTCTTCATTAATACAAATTTCTTATGATTTAGTAATTTTTTTCTTTTGCTGGTAGAGAGGAAGACACCCTTACTAATAAAGATTTCCTTTATAGATGTAAATTTTCTTTGCAAAAGGGTAACTTCTACTCTGTTTTCATAGCTCCTCCTGTTTCTGCTTTTTTTTTTTTTTTTTTTCAAAATAATCCTTACACCGAAGTGGCATATTTTGGGATGGCATTTTCTGGTGTCCTACACATTTTTACACCCCCTGAAATGTCCCTGCCTTTTAAGCACATGATATCGAGCAAGGACTCTGGGGTCAGGCTCCTGTTTCTGTCATTTACTACCTGTGTATTGAGTTTCAGTTTCTTTGTAAATCTTTTTTTTTTTTTTTTTTTTTTTTTTTGAGACAGAGTCTTGCACTGTTGCCCAGGCTAGAGTGCAGTGGCCGTCTCGGCTCACTGCAAGCTCCGCCTCCTGGGTTCACGCCATTGTCCTGCCTCAGCCTCCCAAGTAGCTAGGACTACAGGCACGAGCCACCACGCCCGGTTAATTTTTTATACTTTTAGCAGAGACGGGGTTTCACCATGTTAGCCAGGATGGTCTCGATCTCCTGACCTCGTGATCCACCCATCCCGGCCTCTGAAAGTGCTGGGATTGCAGGTGTGAGCCACCGTGCCGTGCCCGGCCTGTAAATCTTAAGTAATAACTACTCACAGAGCCATAGAGGATGTAACACACATAAGGCACTGAGAATTGTTTGTGGTAGAGAAGAAACACTTAATAAATGCTAGATGGCTTTCCTGTTGCACTCTACATATGGGGTAAAATATATTGACACTCAGGAAAGGTGTCCATTTTGATCCCACCAAGGACTATGTCTCTCTGGGCTTCCTCTGCACTCCCTGGGCTGTCTGCATTTGCTCCAGCCTTCTGAGTTTCACTCTTCTCACCCACTTTGGGTTTTGCTGTTGGTGGCAGAAGCATTGCAGAAATCCCTGATGTTTGGAAAATATGAGCAGCAGGGTTTATAGCTAGGGCATTGAAAGGGAAAAGTGAGGCCAGGCACGGTGGCTCACGCCTATAATCCCAGCACTTTGGAAGGCTGAGGCGGGCGGATAATGAAGTCAGGAGATCGAGACCATGGTGAAACCCTATGTCTACTAAAAATACAAAACATTAGCCGGGCGTGGTGGCGGGCGCCTGTAGTCCCAGCTACTCGAGAGGCTGAGGCAGGAGAATGGCGTGAACCCGGGAGGCGGAGCTTGCGGTGAGCCGATATCGCGCCACTGCACTCCAGCCTGGGTGACAGAGCGAGACACCGTATCAAAAAGAAAAAAAAAAAAACCAGGAAAAAAGGGAAAAGTAACCAACTTCAGGGCTTCGCTACAGGGGCTACCTGATGCAGACTTGCTGCCTTAGACATTAGACAAAAGAAAGTGTTTTCACTATAGTTAATAAAAATCACGATAAACTCAAAATTACTCAGAGAAGGCTGCCCCCAGCATTCGTAAATTAAAGAAAAACGACTTGTTGGGGTAAGTTACCATGAAAGGAATAAAAGAATAGACAGAAGATAAAAATCTACAGTTTTTGACGGAATTATTTTGGCCTGATTTTGCTGACGAGCATACCTTATTAGGAGGAGCATTTGGGATGGTGAAGATAAAACAAAACCAAACATTTACAAAAAAATAGAGCACGCAGCTAGCTTCTTGGTACACTTAAACAAGTTGTCCCCCCCCCAAACTTTTTGAGTCTTCGTTTCTATATCTGTAAAATTAGGGTGCCGATTTATGATTCTTACGTTTTCTTACTGCTCTGACCTTCTACAATTTTATTCTAAAGCATAGGAATGTGTTACCACAGGAAGTATCTCTCAAAAGGTTTTAGGAAAACCGTGGCACCCATTCAGCATCACTGTTGGCAGGAATCATGATGAGTATGATTTAGCATGCTTCCCAGAGCTACAGAAAAATATGTTGAGCCAAATTCCCGGGGCATCTGAACCAGTGCCTGGCAGTAATTTAGGCCTTCTTCCAGAACTGCTAAGTGGTGCCATTGTGACCTGACTGTGTTAATCATGAGTTGGGCACTTTGGGAGGTATATTAGCTTCTTTATACCTCTGGATTGAGACCAGGTTTGCTTTGTGGAAATAAGTGGACATGGGAAAGAAATCCATTTCTTCATAACAAGTACATGAATCATTATATGCCACATAAGTGTGGTAGATATCCAAATCAAATTGTGTCCTTGATACATAAACATATGTATACAGGAAGAATTTTAAGCAGATAATTAGAAAAATTGGTAGATATTAGATCAGCTCCATGTCAGCATGCTGTAGGAATTAGATAATAAGTCCTACTCAGTAGGATATAAACCAAAATAACTTGACACGTATCCTGTGCATGTCCTCTAAAATTTTTTGTTGTTTGTTGTTGAAATGAGTATGACCTAGAATTTCTCTCCAGATCCAAGAAGACAGGGCTTTCTTATTAGGAGAAATATCTGAATAATGTGACTCAACTAAATTGACACATAAAATTAATAATTATATACACGTCAAAAACTACTTCACAATGTGCCTGATTCATAAATAATATTCATAAAACATTAGCCATTATTATTGTAGGTACAGCAGTCCCCCTTATCTTCAAGGGATATATTCAAAGGCCCCTAGTGAATGCCTGAAACTCTGGATAATACTAAACCTGATTGATTTCCATTGGGACATGTTTATATTCATGTCTTACACTCACAGATTTACTGTTTTTTTCTATCTTAACTAAGTACTTATTATGAACTGTGACTGTAACTTACTTTTTAATTTATTTTGCAGATTCCTTTTTTTTTTTTTACAATTTTATGGATAAAGAATCATTCTTTTTTTGTGGGAGGGTGTCAATTACCTAAAGCATTTATCCCTTTTTGTATGTTACAAACATACCAGTTGAACTTTTAGTCATTTTTAAATGTACAATAAATAATTATTGACTTAGTCACCCTGTTGTGCTGTAAAATACTAGACCTTATTCATTCTATTTAACTATATTTTGTACCCATAAACCATCCCTACTTCTTCCTCATCCCCACTACCCTTCCTAGCCTCTGATACCCATCATTTTACTATCTCCATGAGTTCAACTGTTTTAATTTTTAGCTCTCACAAATGAGTGAGAAAATGAGAAGTTTGTATTTCTGTACCTGGGTAATCTCACTTAACTAGTATAATGACCTCTAGTTCCATCCTTGTTACAGATGACAGGATCTCATTCTGTTTTTTTTTTTTTTTTTTGATGAATAGTTCTCCATTGTGTATAAGTACCACATTTTCAATATCCATTCATCTGTTGATGGACACTTGGGTTGCTTGCAAATCTTGGCTATTCTGAATATGCTGCAATAAACATCGGGGTGCAGATATTGCCTTGACATACCAAATTCATTTCCTTTGGATGAATACCCAGTAGTGGGATCATTGGATCATATGGTAGTTCTATCTTTAGTTTTCTGAGAAACCTCCATACTTTTCTCCATAGTGGCTATACTAATTTAGATTCTCACCAACAATTTACATGGGTTCCCTTTCTCCACATCCTTGCTAGCGTTTGTTATTGTCGGTCTTTTGGATAAAAGCCATTTTAACTGGGGTGAGATGACATCTCATGGTAATCTTGATTTGCATTTCTCAGATGATCAATGGTGTTGAGAACCTTTTCATTTTATTGTTTTTCATTTGTATGTCTTCTTTTGAGAAATGACTGCTCAGATCTTCTGCTCATTTTTAAAAATTGGATTATTAAATTTTTTTCTATAGCTTTTTTTATACTTTCAAGTTCTGGGATACATGTGCAGAATGTGCAGGTTTGTTACATAGGTATACATGTGCCATGGTGGTTTGCTGCACCCATCAACTTGTCATCTACATTAGATATTTCTCCTAATGTATTCCCCCACTTCCCCTGACCCCCTGACAGGCCCTGGTGCGTGATGTTCCCCTCCCTGTGCCCATATGTTCTCATTGTTCAACTCTCACTGATGAGTGAGAACATGCGGTGTTTGGTTTTCTGCCCCTGTGTTAGTTTGCTTAGAATGATGTTTCCAGCTTCATCCATGTCTCTGCAAATTACATGAACTCATTCTTTTTTATGGCTGCATAGTATTCCATGGTGTATATGTGCCACATTTTCTTTATCCAGTCTAACATTGATGGGCATTTGGGTTGGTTCCAAGTCTTTGCTGTTGTGAATAGTGCTGCAAGAAACATAGGTGTGCATGTGTCTTTATAGTAGAATGATTTATAATACTGTGGGTATATACTCAGTCATGGGATTGCTGGGTCAAGTGGTATTTCTAATTCTAGATCCTTGAGGAATTTAATTCTAGATCCTTGAGGAATCACCACACTGTCTCCCACAATGGTTGAATTAATTGACACTCCCACCAACAGCGTAAAAGTGTTCCTATTTCTCCACATCCTCTCCAGCATCTGTTGTTTCCTGACTTTTTAATGATTGTCATTCTAACTGGTGTGAGATGGTATCTCATTGTGGTTTTGATTTGCATTTCTCTAATGACCAGTGATTATGAGCTTTTTTTCATATGTTTGTTGGTGGCATAAATGTCTTCTTTTGAAAAGTGTCTGTTCATATCCTTTGCCCACTTTTTGATGGGGTTGTTTTTTCTTGTAAACTTGTTTAAGTTCCTTGTAGATTCTGGATGTGAGCCCTTTGTCAGATAGATAGATTGCAAAAATTTTCTCCCATTCTGTAGTTACCTGTTCACTCTGCTGATAGTTTCTTTTGCTGTGCAGAAGCTGTTTAGTTTAATTAGATCCCATTTGTCAATTTTGGCTTTTGTTATCATTACTTTTGGTGTTTTATTCATGAAGGCTTTGCCCATGCCTGTGTCCTGAAGGGTATTGCCTAGGTGTTCTTCTAGGGTTTTTATGGTTTTAGGTCTTATGTTTAATTCTTTAATCCATCTTGAGTTAATTTTTGTGTATGATGTAAGGAAGTGGTTCAGTTTCAGTTTTCTGCATATGGCTAGCCAGTTTTCCCAAGACCATTTATTAAATAGGGAATCCTTTCCCCATTGCTTGTTTTTGTCAGGTTTGCCAAAGATCACATGGTTGTAGATGTGTGGTGTTATTTCTGAGGCCTCTGTTTTGTTCCATTCATCTATATATCTGTTTTTGTACCACCATCAGGCTGTTTTGGTTACTGTAGCTTTGTAGTATAGTTTGAAGTCAAGTAGCATGATGCCTCCAGCTTTGTTCTTTTGCTGAGGATTGTCTTGGCTATATGGGCTCTTTTTTGTTTCCATATGAAATTTAAGTACTTTTTTCTAATTCTGTGAAGAAAGTCATGGTAGCTTGATGGGAATAGCACTGAATGTATGAATTACTTTGGACATTATGGCCATTTTCACGAGATTGATTCCTCCTATCCATGAGCATGGAATCTTTTTCCATTTGTTTGTGTCCTCTCTTATTTCCTTGAGAAGTGGTTTGTAGTTCTCCTTGAAGAGGTCCTTCACATCCCTTGTAAGTTGTGTTCCTAGGTATTTTATTTTATTTGTAGCAGTTGTGAATGGGAGTTTGCTCATGATTTGGCTCTCTGTTTGTCTCTTATTAGTGTATAGGAATGTTTGTGAGTTGTGAACATTGATTTTGTATCCTGAGACTTTGCTGAAGTTGCCTGTCAGTTTAAGGAGTTTTGGGGCTGAGACAATGGGGTTTTCTAAACATACAGTCATTTCATCTGCAAACAGCGATGATTTGACTTCCTCGCTTCCTATTTGAATATGCTTTATTTCTTTCTCTTGCCTGATTGCCCTGGCCAGAACTTCCAATACTATGTTGAATAGGAGTGGTGAGAGAGGGCATCCTTGTCTTCTGCCAGTTTTCAAAGGGAATGCTTCTAGCTTTTGCCCATTCTGTATTATATTGGCTGTGGGTTTGTCATAAATAGCTCTTATTCTTTTGAGATACGTTTCATTAACTATAAACTATTGAGTGCTTTTAGCATGAAGGTGTGTTGAATTTTATCTAAGGCCTTTTCTTCATCTATTGAGATAATCGTGCGGTTTTTGTCATTGGTTCTGTTTATGTGATGGATTATGTTTATTGATTTGCATATGTTGAAGCAACCTTGCATTCCAGGGATGAAGCTGACTTGATCGTGGTGGATAAGCTTTTTAATGTGCTGATGGATTCAGTTTGCCAGTATTGTATTGAAGATTTTCACATCGATCTTCATTGGTGATATTGGCCTGAAATTCTTTTTTTGTGTGTGTCTCTGCCAGGTTTTGATGTCAGAATGATGCTGGACTCATAAAATGAATTAGGGAGGAGTCCCTCTTTTTCTCTTTTTTGGAATAGTTTCAGAAGGAATGGTACCAGCTCCTCTTTTTATCTCTGGTAGAATTCAGCTGTGAATCCCTCTGGCCCTGGGGTTTTTTTGGTTGGTAGGCTTTTAATTACTGCCTCAATTTCAGAAATTGTTATTGGTCTCTTCAGGGATTCAGTTTCTTCCTGGTTTAGTCTTGGGAAGGTGTATGTGTCCAGGAATGTAACTATTTTTCCTATATTTTCTAGTTTAGTTGCTTAGAAGTGTGTATAGTATTCTCTGATGGTAGTTTGTATTTCTGTGGGATCAGTGGTGATATCCTCTTTATCATTTTATGTTGTGTCTATTTGATTCTTCTTTCTTTTCTTCTTTACTAGTCTGGTTAGTGATCTATCTATTTTGTTAATCTTTTCAAAAAACCAGCTCCTGGATTCATTGATTTTTTGAAGGGTTTTTTGTGTCTCTATCTCCTTCAGTCCTGCTCTGATCTTAGTTATTTCTTGTCTTCTGCTAGCTTTTGAATTTGTTTGCTCTTGCTTCTCTGTTTCTTTTCATTGTGATGTTAGGATGTTGATTTTAGATCTTTCCTGCTTTCTCTTGTGAGCATTTAGTCCTATAAATGTCCGTCTAAACACTGCCTTAGCTGTGTCCCAAAGAGTCTGGTACATTGTGTCTTTGTTTTCATTGGTTTCAAAGAACTTATTTACTTCTGCCTTAATTTTGTTATTTACCCAGTAGTCATTCAGGAGCAGGTTGTTCAGTTTTCATGTAGTTGTGTGGTTTTGAGTGAGGTGCTTAATCCTGAGTTCTAATTTGATTGCACTGTGGTCTGAGAGACTGCTTGTTGTGATTTCCATGCTTTTGCATTTGCTGAGGAGTGCTTTACTTCCAATTATGTGGAAGTAAAACACTTCCACATAAGTAGTCGATTTTAGAATAAGTGCTGTATGGTGCTGAGAAGAATATATATTCTGTTGATTTGGGGTGGAGAGTTCTGTAGATGTCTTTTACATCCATTTGGTCCACAGCTGAGTTCAAGTCCTGAATATCCTTGTTAATTTTCTGTCTCATTGATCTGTCTAATATTGATGGTGGGGTGTTAAAGTCTCCCAGTATTATTGTGTGGGAGTCTAAGTCTCTTTGTAGGTCTCTAAGAGCTTGCTTTATGAATCTGGGTGCTCCTGTATTAGGTGCATATATATTTAGCATAATCAGCTCTTCTTGTTGCATTGATCCCTTTACCATTATGTAATGCCCTTCTTTGTCTCTTTTGATTTTTGTTGGCTTAAAGTCTGTTTTATCAGAGACTAGGATTGCAAACCCTGCTTTTTCTTGCTTTCCATTTGCTTGATAAATATCTTCCATCCCTTTATTTTGAGCCTATATGTGCCTTTGCACATGAGATGGGTCTTCTGAATACAGCACACTGATGGGTCTTGACTCTTTACCCAATTTGCCAGTCTGTGTCTTTTAATTGTGGCATTTAGCCTGTTTACATTTAAGGTTAATATTTTTATGTGTGAATTTGATCCTGTCATTATGATACTTGCTGGTTATTTTGCCCATTACTTGATGTAGTTTCTTTATAATGTCAATGGTCTTTATATTTTTGTTTGTTTTTGCAGTGGCTGGTACTGGTTTTTCCTTTCCATATTTAGTACTTCCTTCAGGAGCTCTTTTAAGGCAGGCCTGGTGGTGACAAAATCCCTCAGCATTTGCTTGTCTGTAACGGATTTTATTTCTCCTTCACTTATGAAGCTTAGTTTGACTGGATATGAAATTCTGGATTGAAAATTATTGTCTTTAAGAATGTTGAATATTGGCCCCCACTCTCTTCTAGCTTGTAGGGTTTCTGCAGAGAGATACACTGTGAGTCTGATGGGCTTCCCTTTGTGGGTAACCCAACCTTTCTCCCTGGTTGCCCTTAACATTGTTTTCCTTCATTTCAACCTTGGTGAATCTGATTATTATGTGTCTTGGGTTTGCGCTTCTCGAGGAGAATCTTTGTGGTGTTCTTTGTATTTCCTGAATTTGAATGTTGGTCTGTCTTGCCATGTTGGGAAAGTTCTCCTGGATGATATTCTGAAGTATGTTTTCCAACTTGGTTCCATTCTCCCCGTCACTTTCAGGTACACCAATCAAACGTAAGTTTGGTCTTTTCACATAGGCTCATATTTCTTGGAGGCTTTGTTCGTTCCTTTTCATTCTTTTTTCTCTAATCTTGTCTTCATGCTTTATTTCATTAAGTTGATCTTCAGTCTCTGATATTTTTTCTTCTGCTTGATTGATTTGGCTATTGATACTTGTGTATGCTTCACGAAGTTCTTACGCTGTGTTTTTCAGCTCCATCAGGTCATTTATTTTCTTCTCCAAACTGGTTACCCTAATTAGCAATTTGTCTAACCTATTTTCAAGGTTCTTGGCTTCCTTCCTTTGGGTTAGAACATGCTCCTTTAGCTCAAAGGAGTTTGTTATTACCCACCTCCTAAAGCCTACTTCTGTCAATTAGTCAAAGTCATTCACCGTCCAGTTTTATTCCCTTGCTGGTGAGGCATTGTGATCCTTTGGAGGAGAAAAGGCCTTCTGGTTTTTGGAATTTTCAGCCTTTTTGAGCTGGTTTTTCTTGATCTTCGTGGATTTATCTGCCTTTGGTTTTTGCTGTTGGTGACCTTCAAATGGAGTTTTTGCGTGATTGTCCTTTTTGTTGATGTTGATGCTATGGCTTTCTTTTTGTTAGTTTTCCTTCTAACAGTCAGGCCCCTCTTCTGCAGGTCTGCTTGAGTTTGCTGGGGGTCTACTCCAGACTCTGTTTGCTGGATATCACCAGCAGAGGCTGTAGAACAGAACAGCAAAGATTGCTGCCTGCTTCTACCTCTGGAAGCTTCCTCCCAGAGGGGCACCCACCAGATGCCAGCCAGAGCTCTCCTGTATGACGTACCTGTCGACCCCTGTTAGGAAGTGTCTCCCAGTCAGGAGGCACAGGTGTCAGGTACCCACTTGAGGAGGCAGTCTGTCGCTTAGCAGAGTTTGAGCGCTGTGCTGGAGATCTGCTATTCTCCAGAGCTGGCAGGCAGGAATGTTTAAGTCTGCTGAAGCTCTGGCCACAGCCGCCCTTTCCCCCAGGTGCTTTGTCCCAGGGAGATGGGAATTTTATCTTATAAGCCTTTCACTAGGGCTGCTGCCTTTCTTTCAGAGATACCCTGCCCAGAGAGCAGGAATCTAGAAAGGCAGTCTGGCTACAGTGGCTTTGTGGCACTGTGGTGGGCTCTGCCCAGTCTGAATTTCCCAGCTGCTTTTTACACACTGTGAGGGGAAAACCGCCTACTCAAGCCTCATTAATGGTGAACCCCTTTCCCCTACCCCAAGCTGGGGCATCCCAGGTCAACTTTAGACTGCTGTGCTGGCAGCAAGAATTTCAAGCCAGTGGATCTTAGCTTGCTCGGCTTTGTGGGGATGGGATCCAGTGGGCAAAACCACTTGGCTCCCTGGCTTCAGCTCGCTTTCCAGGGGAGGGAATGGTTCTGTCTTTCTAGCGTTCCAGGTGCCACTGCGGTATGACAAAAAGACTCCTGCAGCTAGCTCAGTGTCTGGCCAAATGGCCACCCAGTTTTGTGCTTGAAACCCAGGGCCCTTGTGGTATAGGCACCCGAGTGAATCTCTTGGTCTATGGGTTGCGAAGACCATGGGAAAAGCATAGTATCTGGGCTGAATAGCACTGTCCCTCACAGCATGGTCCTTCATGGCTTCCCTTGGCTAGGGGAAGGAGTTCCCTGACCCTGTGCACTTCCCGAATGAGGCAATACCCCACCCTGCTTCTGCTCGCCCTCCATGGGCTGCATCCACTGTCTAACCAGTCTCAATGAGTTGAACCAGGTACCTTAGTTGGAAATGCAGAAATCACCCACATTCTGCATTGGTCTCGCTGGGAGCTGAAGACCAGAGCTGTTCCTATTCGGTCATCTTGCCCAGGAATACTATAGCATTGTTTAAGCTCCTTAAATATTCTGGTTATTAATCCCTTGTCAGATGGGTAGTTTGCAAATATTTTCTTCCATTCCAGGAGTTGTCTCTTCACTTTGTTGATTGTTTCCTTTTTCACACAGAAGGTTTTTATTTATTTGTTTATTTTTATTTTATTTTATTTTATTTTTTACTTGGTGTGATCCCATTTTTGCTTTGTTTGCCTGGGCTTGTGGAGTATTGCTCAATAAATCTTTCCCAGTCCAATGTCCTGGAGAGTTTCTCCAGTGTTTTCTTGTAGTAGTTTCATAGTTTGCAGTTTTAGATTTAATCTTTAGTCTATTTTTATTTGATTTATGTATGTGGCAAGAGATAAGGGTCTGGTTTTATTCTTCAGTTTGTGAATATTTAATTTTCCTAACACTATTTATTGAAGCAACTGTCCTTTCCCTAATGTATGTTCTTGGCACCTTTGTTGAAAATGAATTCATTGTAGATGTATGGATTTATTTCTGGATTTTAAGCTCTGTTCTATTCGTCTATGTGAAAAAATGGAATAGAATAGAGAACAATGTTTTTATGCCTGTACCATGCTGTTTTAGTTACTATAGCTCTGTAGTATAATTTGAAGTCGGGTAATATAATTCCTCCAGTTTTGTTCTTTTTGCTTAGGATAGCTTTGTTTATTTTGAGTCTTTTTTTTTCCATGTAAATTTGAGAATATTTTTTCTATTCCTGTGAAGAATATCATTTATATTTTGGTAGGAATTGCATTGAATCTGTATATTGCTTTGGGGTAGTATGAACATTTAAAAACTATTGATTCTTCCAATCCATGGACATGGAATATCTTTCCTTTTTTGTGTGTCCTCTTGAATTTCTTGCATCAATGTTTTATAGTTTTCATTGTAGAGATCTTTTACATTATGGTTAAGTTTATTCCTAGGTATCTAATTTTATTTGTTGCCCTTGTAAATTACTTTCTTGATTTCTTTTTCAGATTGTTTGCTGTTGGCACATAGAAATGCTACTCATTTTTGTATGTTAATTTTGTATCTGGCAACAACACTGAATTTGTTTATTGTTCTAATAGTTTTTTGACAGAGCCTTTATAGGCTTTTCCAAATATAAGATCATTTCATATGCAAACAGAGATAATTTGACTTCTTCCTTTGCAGTTTGGATGTCCTTTATGTCTTTCTGTTGTCTGATTGCTCTGTAATCTGTTGTCCTCTAGCTAGGACTTCCTGTACTCTGTTAAATAACAGTGGTGAAAGTGGGCATCCTTGTCTTCCTTTCTTCTTAGAAGAAAGGCTTTCAGTTTTTCCCCTTTCAGTATGGTACTAGCTGTGGGTCTGTCATATATGACTTGTAATATATTGATGTATGTTTCTTCTCTACCTAGTATTTTAATGGTTTTTTTTAAATAAAGGCATGTTAAATTTTATAAAATGCCTTTTCAGCATCAACTGAAATGATCACATGGTTTTTGTCTTTCATTCTGTTGATATGAGGTATCGCATTGTGATTGATTTGCTTATGCTGAATCATCCTTGCATCCCTGGGAAAAGCCCACTTGGTCTTGATACGTGATATTTTAAATGCATTATTCAAGTCATTTTTCTAATATTTTGTAGAGGAGTTTTAATCAATGTTTATCAGGAATATTTGCACATATATATATTTTAATGTGTCTTTGTCTGGTTTTAGTAGCAGTGTAATAGTTGTCTCATAAAATGAGTTTCAGTTTGAAAGTACTCCTTCCTCCTCTCTTTTTCAAAATAGTTCGAATTTAATTGGTATTAGTTCCTCTTTAAATGTTTGGAAAAATACAACAGTGAAGCCACTGGGTACTAGGCTTTTATTTGTCCCCCTGGGAGACTATTGATTATGGCTTAAATCTCATTGTTTGTTATTGGTCTATTCAGGTTTTACATTTCTTCATGGTTCAAACTTGGTAGGATGCATGTGTCTAGGAACGTGTCCACTTCTATGTTTTCCATTTTTTTGGCATATACTTGGTCATACTTGTCTCTAATAATCTTTTGAATTTCTGTGATATCAAATGTCTCCTTTTTCATCACTCATTTTATTTATTTGAGCCTTCTCTCTTTTTTCTTAGTCTGGCTAAAGATTTGTCAATTTTGTTTATCTTTTCAAAAAATTTTTTCATTGTATGATTTTTGGATTATTTTTTAGTTTAAATTGCATTTATTTCTGCTCTGATATTTATTATTTTGTCTTCTAATAATTTGGGTTTGTTTCCTCTTGCTTTTTTGGTTCTTTAAGATGCATCATTAGGTTATTTGAAGTTTTTCTACTTTATGATATAGGTGCTTATGGCTATAAATTTTCCTCTAAGTACTGCTTTTGCTGTATCCCATAAGTTTTGGTATGTTGTTTTCTATTTTCATTTGTTTCAAAAAGTTTTTCAATTTCCTCATTGACCCATTGGTTATTCTGGGGCATATTGTTTAATTTCCATATGCTCATATAGATACCAAAGTTCCTCTTGCTATTGATTTTTAGTTTTATTCGCTTGTGTTCAGAGAAGATATTTGATATGATTTCAATTTTTTTAACTTATAAAAGCTTATTTTATGGCCTAACATGTATATCCTTGAAAACTGTCCATGTGCTGAGAAGAATAATGTGTATTCTGCAGCTGTTGGATGAAATGGTTCGTAAATATTAGGTCTATTTGGTCTATTTTATGAATTAAGTCCAGTATTTCTGTTAATTTTCTGTCTGATGATCTGTGAAATGATAAAAGCAGGGTGTTGAATTATTTGGCTATTATTAGATTGGCATCTCTCTCTCTTTAGCTCTAATAATATTTGCCTTATATATCTGGGTACTCCAGTGTTTAGTGCATATGTATTTACCATTATTAAATCCTCTTGCTGAATTGACTTCTTTTTCATTATGCAATAACATTGTCTCTTTTTTATAGATTCTTTTCTTGAAATTTATTTTGTCCAATGTAAGTATAGCTACTACTGGTTTGTTTTGGCTTTCGTTTGCATGGAATAAGTTTTATTATCTCTTGAATTTCAATCTATGTGTGTCTTGTAGGCAATAGATTTCTGGGCCTTGTTTTTATCCATTTAGCCTTTGATTGGAGCCATATAACCTTTGATTGGAGAGTTTAGTCCATTTACATGTGATGTTATTATTGATAAGTTAGCACTTACTCCTGCCATTTGGTTGTTCATGTTCTAATTGTTTTGCGATCTTTACTTCCTTCTTCTTCTCCATCTTGTCTTCCTTTTTATGAAGGTGATTTTCTCTGGTGGTATAATTTAACTTCTTGCTTTTTATTTTGTGTGTACCTGTTGTATATTTTTTGATTTGAGGTTACCATGAGGCTTGCAAATAACATATTGTAACTCATTATTTTAACATGATGACAGCTTAACACTGATTGCAAAAGTAAACACACTTAGAAACAAGCAGAAAAAACACCTAATAAAAATTATATACTTTAACTTCATCCTCCCTAATTTTTTAAACTTTTTGTAGTTTCTATTTATATTTTATTATACTGGATATCTTGAAAAGTTATTGCAGTTATTATTTTTCATAGTTTCATCTTTTAGTCTTCCTACTGAAGATGTTAGTTTATATACCATAATTACAGTGTTATAATATTCTGTTTGTCTATATATTTAACTATTACCAGTGAGGTTTTACCTTCAGATGATGATTTTTTATTGCTCATTAACACCCTATTTTTTCAGATTGAAAAACTCTGTTTAACATTTCTTGTGGGATACTGCTGGTGTTGTTAAAATTCCTCAGTTTTTGTTTGTCTGGGAAGGTCTTTATTCTCCTTCATGTTTGAGGGATATTTTGACTGGATATACTATTCTAGAATAGAAGTTTTTTTTCTTCAGCATTTTAAATATGTTATGCCACTTTCTTCTGTCCTGTAATATTGCCACTGAGATGGTTGCTGCCAGATGTATTGTTTTTGTACATTGTTTCTTTTCTCTTGCTGCTTTTAGAATCCTTTCTCTAGCTTTGATTTTTGGCAGTTTGATTATTAAATGCCTTGAGGGAGGCCTATTTGACATGTATCTGCTTAGTGTTCTATAACTCTCTTGTATTTGAATATTTATATCTTTGGCTAGGTTTTAAAAGTTCTCTGTTATTATCCCTTTGAATAGCTTTTGATCCAGATCTCTCTCTCTCTACCTTCTCTTTAAGGCCAGTACTCTAATATTTGCCTTTGTGAGGCTGTGTTCTAGATCTTGTAAGCATGCTTTATTCTTTTCTATGTTATTTCTTTTGCCTCCTCTGACTGTGTGTTTTCAAATATCCTGTCTTTAAGCTCACTAATTCACTTTTCTGCTTGATCAATTCTGCTGTTGAGAGACTCTGAGGCATTCTTCAGTATGTCAGTTGAATTTTTCAGCTCCAAAATTTCTGCTTTTCTTTAAACAATTACTTTAACTTCTTTGTTAAATTTACCTGGTAGTATTCTGAATTCCTTCTCTGTGTTATCTTAAATTTTGTTGCGCTAACTCAAAACAACTATTTTAAATTCTCTGCCTGAAAAGTCACGTATCTCTGTCATTCCAGAATTAGTCACTAGTACCTTAGTTAGTTTGTTTGGTGAGGTCATGTTTTCCTGGATGGCTGTGATGCTTATGGATGTTCTTTGATGTCTGGGCATTGAAGAGTTAATTGTTTATTATAATCTTTGCAGTCTGGGCTTGTTTGTACTTATTTTTCTCGGGAAGGCCTTCCAAATGTGTTAGTCTGTTCTCGCGCTGCTAATAAATACATACCCGAAACTGGGTAATTTATAGAGGAAACAGGTTTAATGGACTCAGTTCCACATGGCTGGGGAGGGCTCACAATCCTGGCAGAAGGTGAATGAGGAGCAAACTCTCGTCTCACATGGCAGCAGGCAAGAAAACTTGGGTAGGGGAATTCCCCTTTATAAAACCACCAGGTCTTGTGAGACTTATTCACTATCGTGAGAACAGCACAGAAAAGACCCACCCCCATGATTCAGTTACCTCCCACCAGGACCCTCCTATCATATGTGGGAATTATGGGAGCTAATTTTCAAGAGGAGATTTGGGTGGGGACACAGACAAACAATATCATTCTGCCCCAGCCCCTCCCAAATCTCATGTCCTCACTTTTCAAAACCAATCATGCCTTCCCAAAAATCCCCCAAAGTCTTATTTCAGCATTAACTCTAAAGTCCACAGTCCAAAGTCTCATCTGAGACAAGGCAATTCTCTTCTGCCTACGAGCCTGTAAAATCAAAAGCAAGTTAGTGGCCGGATGCGGTGGCTCACGCCTCTAATCCTAGCACTTTGGGAGGCCGAGGTGGGCAAATCACAAGGTCAGGAGATCGAGACCATCCTGGCTAACATGGCGAAACTCTGTCTCTACTAAAAATACAAAAGATCTAGCCAGGCGTGGTGGTGGGCACCTGTAGTCCCAGCTATTCGGGAGGCCAAGGCAGAAGAATGGTGTGAACCCAGGAAGCAGAGCTTGCAGTGAGCCAAGATCACACCACTGCACTCCAGCCTGGGTGACAGAGCAAGACTCCATCTCAAAAAAAAAAAAAAAATCAAAAAAGCAAGTTAGTTACTTCCTATATACAATGGGGGTACAGGCATTGGGTAAATACTCCCATTCCAATGAGACAAATTGGCCAAAACCAAGGGGCTACAGGCCCCATGCAAGTCCAAAATCCAGCAGGGCAGTCAAATCTTAAAGCTCCAAAATGATCTCCTTTGACTCCATGTATCATATCCAGGTTACACTGATGTGAGAGGTGGGTTTTCACAACCCTGAGCAACCCCACCCTGTGGCTTTGCTGGCTGCTTTCACAGGCTGCTTTCACAGGCTAGCAACCCTCCTGCCTGCTTTCATGGGCTGGCATTGAGTGTCTGTGACTTTTCCAGGTACACACTGCAAGCTGTCTGTGGACCTACCATTCTGGATGGATCTACCATTCCGGGGTCTGAAGGATGGTGGCCCTTTCTCACAGCTTCTCTAGGCAATCCCCAGTGGGGGCTCCATGTGGGGCTTCCCACCCCACATTTCTCTTCTGCTGCAGTGTCCCAGCAGAGGTTCTCCATGACGGCTCCACCCTTGCAGCAAACTTTTGCCTGGACAGCCAGGCATTTCCATACATTCTCTGAAATCTAGGCAGAGGTTCCCAAACCTCAATTCTTGACTTCTGTGCACCCACCCAGTCAACACCATGTGGAAGCTGCCAAGGCTTGGGGCTTGCATCCCCTGAAGCCAGGGCCCAACCTATACCTTGGCCCCTTTTAGCTACAGCTGGAGCAGCTAGGATGCAGGTCACTATGTCCTTAGGATTCACACAGCAGGGGGCTCTGGGCTTGGCCCACAAAACCATTTTCCCTCCTAGGCCTCTGGTCCTGTGATTTGAGAGGCTGTTGTGAAGACCTCTGACATGTCCTGGAGACCTTTGCTTCATTGTCTTGATTATTAAGATTTGGCTCCTTGTTGCTTATGCAGATTTCTGCAGCAGGGTTGAATTTCTCCCCAGAAAATGGGTTTTCCTTTTCTATTGCATTGTCAGCCTGCAAATTTTCCAAACTTTTATGCACTGCTTCCTCTTGAATACTTTGCAGGTTAGGAATTTCTTCTGCCAGATACCCTAAATCACTTAAGTTCAAAATTCCACAGATCTTTAGGGCAGGGGCAAAATGCCACCAGTCTGTTTGCATAGCAAGAGTGACCTTTACTCCAGTTCCCAACAAGTTCCTCATCTCCATTTGAGACCACCTTAGTCTGGACTTTATTGTTCATATCACTATCGAGAAGTCTCTAGGAAGCTGCAAACTTTCCCACATTTTCTTATCTTCTGAAATCTCTAAATGGTTCCAACCTCTACCCAGTTCCAAAGTCACTTTCACATTTTCTGGTATCTTTATAGCAGCACCCCACTACCCAGTACCAATTTACTGTGTTAGTCTGTTCTCATGATGCTAAAGACATTCCTGAGACTAGGCAATTTATAAAGGAAACAGATTTAATGGACTCACAGTTCCTCATGGCTGGGGAGGCCTCACAATCATGGTGGAAGACAAATGAGGAGCAAAGTAACATCTTACATGCTGTCAGTCAAAAGAGCTTGTGTAGGGGATACCCCCTTTATAAAACCATCAGATCTCGTGAGACTTATTCACTATCATGAGAACAGCATGGGAAAGACCCACCCCCATGATTAAAATACCTCCCACTGGGTCCCTCCTGACAAGTGAAAATTATGGGAGATGCAATTCAAGATGAAATTGGGGTGGGGCCACAGCCAAAGTATTGATAGCAAATTAAATGGTCTAAATCTTTGGTCACTGCAGCCATATGTGCATTCAGGGGCAACCAAAGCCCAGTAATGCTGAGACTCTTGCAGACTTATAGAGGCACTGCTTTGCTGGTCTTGGGTAATATCCAGGACAATTCCCTGGATTATTAGGTAGAAACTCCTGTTCTCTTCCCTTAATTTTCCCCAATCAAATGGAGTCTCTCTCTCTCCCTCTCTCCCTCCATCCCTCTCTCTTACTCTCTGCTGAGCTGCCAGAGCTGGGGGAGAGGTAACACAAGCACCCCTGTAGCTACCACTATTGTGACCACACTGGGTCAGACCAGAAGCCAGCATCACATTGGGTCTGGCCCAGGGCCTCAGCTGACACTGCCTGGTTATCACCAATATTCACTCAAAGCTCAAGGACTCTTCAGTCAGCATTTGGTGAATCCAGCCAAGTTTGTCTCCTTTCCTTTGGAGTAGCCAGCTGCTTACATGGCCCAGGGTGGGTCCAATAATTTCATCTAGGAGACAGGAGTTGGAGTTGAGAATCTTAGGAATCTACCTGGCGCTTTATTCTACTGTGGCTGAGCTGGCACCCAAGCCACAAGACAACATCCTTCCCACTCTTTCTTCCCCTCTCCTCAAGCCAAAGGAGTCTCTCCTCATGGCCACCACTGCCCCAGGCCCATGGCGAGTACTGTCTGGCTACCACCGATATTCACTCAAGGCCCAAGGGCTCTTCAGCCAGCTCATGATGAATGCTGCCAGGCTTGAATCTCTTTCTTCAGGGCAACAGGTTCCCCTCTGGCTCAGGGTGGGTCCAAATATGCCATCCAACATCCAGGCCTGAAATTGTGAACCCCAGGAGCCCACTTATTCTACCCCTGTGTGCCAAACTGGTGCCCAAGCTACAAGACAAAGTTCTCTCTATTGTTTCCTCTCCTTTCCTCAAGCAGAAGGAGTCTCCCCATGGCCACTGCAGCTGGGAATGTGCTGGGTCACTCCTGAAACCAATATGGCTCTGGGTCTCACCCATGGCCCAAAGAGAATACTGCCTATGTACTGCTGATGTTTATTCAGGCCCAGGGGCTCTTTAGTCAGCAAGTGATCAATCCTGTCAGGACTGGGTCTTTCCTTCAAGGCAGCAGGTTCCTTTTCGGCCTAGGATGTGTCCAGAAATTTCATCTGGGAGTTAGGGCCTGGAACGGGGGCCTCAGGATTCTATACTGTGCCCTATTCTAATATGGCTGCACTGGTATCCATGTTGCAAAGCAAAGTCCCCTTTACTCTCCCCTCTACTATCCTTAAGCAGAAGGAAGGAGTGTCTCCAAGAGCTATGAGCTGTGTTGTCTGGGTTTGGGGCAGTGGAACACAAGCACTCCCTTAGCCACCCCAGCTGGTTTTTCGCTAGGTGATGTGCACCCCAAGTCCATTGTCACTGAGCTCAGCCCAGCACTACGATTTCCCATGAACTGCATTCTTTGTGACCTAGATTGCCTTTTGAGTTTATTTAGAGCCTCAGAGTGCTTTTGCCTGCAAATGTGGGGCTAGCCAGAACTCAGGTTCTGACCACTGGGATGAATGATTTCTGCCTAGGTAAGGCTGGTCTAAATGCTCCCTCCATGGGTATAGGCTAAATTCTGCCCAGTGTTGCTTTCTGCTGTGTCAAGGCAGCACTGAGTTCCAATGCAAAGTCCCACGATCACTGCATTCTCTCTCCCCTAGGCACAAAGATTCTCTCTCCATGCCACATGACTGCTGCCAGGGAATGTGGGAAGTGGTGTCAGCAATTCAAGACTGTCTTTTCTACCTTCTTCAGTGTCTCTTTCCTTGATGTGATATTAAAACCAGGCACTGTGATCACTCACCTGATTTTTGGTTCTTGTGAAGGTTCTTTTTTTGTGTGTGGATAGTTGTTTGATTTGGTGTTCTTTTATGGGGGTGGGCAACCTCAGCATACAATATTTTTTTTCATTAAGTCATGAGCTTTCACCTTTTTACTTAAAAGAAGTACTTTACAGCTTCATCTTGGGATATCTGAATTGCCAGTATCACTACTCTTGCAATTTGGGGCTGTATTAAGTCAAATAAATGTTACTTAAACACAAGCACTGTGATACAGCAACAGTCAATCTGATAACCTAGAGGGCTACTAAGTGATTAACTTAGTAGTCATTTAGTATATGGGTAACATATACAGCATGGGCTAGACAAAGAGATGATTCCTATCCCAGGGGAATGGAGCAGGATGGTGTGAGATTTCATCACACTACTCAGAGCACCACACAATTTAAAACTTATCAATTGTTTATTTCTGGAATTTTCATTTAGTATTTTTGAACCTTATCTACTGCAAGTAACTGTAACTGCAGAAAGCGAAACTGCAGATAAGGCAGGCTAGATGGTATTGCATAGATTGATTTGAAAGCATTCTAGAGCTCAAGTGTTTTGGGTGTGAGTGTGATTGGCTTCGATTGCAAATGTTTTGGGTGGGTTGCAGGAGTTAAATGTGTTAACGACAGATCAAACACAGTGGGAGCCTAATCTTACTTTAATTTATACTTAAAATTATGAAACTTTAGTTAGTTATGTAGTTTTCATCAACATAGTCCAGAGGGATACTGTAGTTTTCATAAATTCTCTAGTTCAAAGGAATGAGAATATCTGACTTTTTAAACAAAAGAAAAAGTAGTATTTTTCTTTACAGTTTAAAAGAGTTATAAGAACAATCACATATTTAAGAATAATAATTTTTCTGAAAACAATAAATGGATTAAAAGAAAG
Source organism: Homo sapiens (assembly GCF_000001405.40). Taxonomy (NCBI): domain Eukaryota; kingdom Metazoa; phylum Chordata; class Mammalia; order Primates; family Hominidae; genus Homo; species Homo sapiens. Next base: position 37,221,656 of record NC_000011.10, read on the forward strand.
GGCTGTTTCAAAATTCCTTGATGTAGTAGCTTTTGAGCTGTATGATTACTGAAAAGTTTTAGTGAATTTATCAAATTAAGAATCAGAAAGTATGGGAAACTAATACCATAACTCATTATGTTTACTATGCCATTTCATATATTTGTGAAAATATGTATTTTTATAGAATTAATTTATAATGGTAAATATCAATAGAATTATATATATATAAATAGCATTTTCAAAAAATATATAAACTACATTTTAATATGAAGTTTCATAAATATGTTTTCCAATATTTAGTTTCATTTCATATGTATATTTCAAGTAAGTTTTCTAAAATTATAGTTTTAAAATATTTGTTCTTATGCACTGTTTGAGTTTTCCTCTTTGAGAACATTGATTATATATATTATTTTTATGTTATGATGTAAAATATTATTGAATATTTTTCTACTTGTCATATTCGATATTTACTCAAATTATTTAATATTTTTACTTTTTAAACTTCTTTTTCACTTCTATTTCTCTTCAAGCGTTCTGTGTGTGTTTGTGTTGATTTGTCCATGTGTTCCTCCTGGGTTAGCCTTCATTTGTAAACTGAGTTTTTATGTTTTCAAATGTCTGTTTTTTTCCTAAATTCTAGAACCTATTTCTGAGTTTTCCTCATCATTCCTCATGTTCTTTCATGTTTTGCCTAGTTTTAATTTATATATTTTGGATTATTTACTACAGGCACACGCCACCATGCCCAACTAATTTTTGTATTTTTAGTAGAGACGGGGTTTCACCATGTTGGCCAGGATGGTCTCAATCTCTTGACCTTGTGATCTGCCCTCAGCCTTCTAAAGTGCTGGGATTACAGGCATGAGCCACTGTGCCTGGCCTATCAGTTTTTAAGAAGGTATTTTTGTCACAACTTACTTATAGGAATGTAATTCTAATCCTTACTATCTTTTTTAATATAATACCTTTTAATGGAATTTTAGTGTATTTTTTCTATTGACTTTGTTAAAATAAAATTTATTTTCCTGATATTTTTCGAAGGGAAAAATAGGTCATAATAGTTGTTTAGTTGTTTTTAACAACCTTGGCCTATAAACACTTCTGTCATTTTCTGAAGTCTTAAAAATCTGTTCTTATACTTTCAGAGATATTCTTACTCTGTTCCTCACTCCCGTTTTTACCTGGACATGCTTTTTTTTTTTTTTTCCTCTCTCTATTGCTGCTGTCTTGTCCAATTTCAAGTCAATTTCCAGAAGTTTCTCCTTGGTTGATATTTGTCTTAGGGTATTTGGCTAATTGGTTTAGAAATTGCATAAGGCCCAAATTGCTTCAACCTTTTAGACCTTACAACTGACTCCTTCAAATCAGCTATAAATGGGTAACAACACTATCTAGTTCAAAATCTTGGACCACTCTTGAAAATCTATGAACAATTTTCAAATTTTCCTATTCTTTGATTTATCAGACACTCATTTGGTTCCCTTTGTTTCTTTCCATATAGATGCTGATACTATACATATATTATAGTGGTTGGTGGCTTTCTACCTCTCATATTGAGTCATGAGGCTACTTTGCCATTTTACTACTTGCCATTTTTCTGTGGGTTTTGGCTTTATTTCCTGGTGGCTTTGATTTTATGATAGGACTTAAGGAGATTATAAACTATAGCACTGCTGCTATCTTCCCAATATCAATTGATCTTAATAATATCTTATGCAAATATAGTCCCACAGAATACACATTAGGAAATATCAGTGTTAGCTAGTTACTTCAAATGTATTTTTCAAAGTGGTATTTTTCATAGCTTTTAACTTTCTTGGTGAAGACATCCACAAGTATTCTAACTGCTCTCTGGAAGCTAGAATTTCTTACAGTATAGAGTTAAGAAAATAAATCAGTATTTGTATCTTGGTTCTACTCTTAGAAAATATGTGACTTTGGATCACTCTTTGAGCTTTGATTCCTCATGTAATAATGAAATGAGCAATTTCTCTAAAGTTTCTGGCACAGGATATGAAACATACTAAATAATCAACATATTTGAATTGTATTCTCCATGTTTTACCCTTCCCTTTTAATATTGTTGTGTTTTTCTTCATATATGAGTTCGGTTAAATACCCTATGAGGGCAGATAACATGTCTGTCATACTCTTTGCTATATTCTGAGGGCTTTGCATAAGATGGAATATAGTGAGTACTGTTACAGGATGTTTGGGGTGTCTCTTCACTAGCCAGACACCTCTGTGGCCAGTGGCACCTTTGCCTAAGTTTTGCTCAGACCCACTGGGCCCACTAGGCCTGGCAGGCTGCACTTAGCTCATGCTATCAGCCTGTATCCCATGCTTGCCAAGGGGGAGCAGAGCTGTGAGGAGTGTGTGAATGAGTGAGTGTGGGGTCCAGCCACTGAGCACAGCCAGGCACACTCATTGTGGCTGGGCAGGAAGCTCCAGGTGCCAGCATCGATGCTGGCTCCCTGTGAGGCTATGGCTGGACCAGGCACCCCGGAAGCAGCTTCCACGGCTGGCACCAGGGAATGCAGTGGCACCCAGAAGCTTGGAGTTGCTAGGAACCACAGAGCCCCAAGGAGGGTGTCACAGCCCTGGCTTCAGGAGCTCCTACATCTGGGTTCCCTGAAGGGCCACAGCTCTTCTCTCCTTCTTGGTGCCTGCAATGTAGCAAGCAAGGGGCGTGTTTCAGTCCATTTGTGTTACAGCTCTTTCAGCCCCACCATTTGGCGGGTCCTGAGTTCTTGTCCCATGTCCAGGAAGAATGTGGTACCTGAGCAAGTGGAGGGTGAGCAAGGTAAAGAGGAGCTTTATTGAGTGACAGAACAGCTGAGAGGAGACTTGCAGTGGGTACCTCCTCTCCACATCCAGGGTGTCCCAACAAGTGTTCAGCTTTCAGCAGAGAGGAGATCCTGGATGGTTAGCTCCTTTCTGCAGCTGGTTGTCCCAACGTCTGCTCAGCTCTCAGCAGAAAGGAGACCCTGGAGTGGGTAGCTCCTCTTTGCAGGTGATTGTTCTGACATCTATATGAGTCTGGCTGAGTCGGGGGTTTTTATGGGCTTCAGAGAATAAATGTATGCTGATTGGTTGTGGTTGGCCATGGGCAGGCCCGGAAAAAACATAATAAGTTTCCACTCCAGTCTGCAGGACTGGCAGCTTGGCCTCCAGGATTTGAGTCTTCCTTGGCTTGAAGGTGGGGCTTCCCCCAGTACCCAGCCCTTTCCCAGGAGACTGTCTGCCTTCTACTGCTGTTTATGGGACCCAGGCTTTTCCTGCTGAGGGGTGCCTGGAAGCCAGTGCTGAGCTGCCTTCAGCAGCCCCTTGGTTTCCCTCCCATGCTCATTGGTGCCCAAATTCCAGAGGGGGCCAAAATGGCAAGGGGCTGTCATGTCAGTGCTGCCTCAAGTGTGCACATACCTGGCCAGGTTGTGACAGCATCCAGGCTTGGCCTCAACTTTGCTCCAAGATTGGAGTGGGCACTGGGAGTAGGGAGAGGCCAGACAGTGGGAGCAGACACTTCCAAGCCTGTGGTGGCAGGTGGGGCCTTCCTGGGCCCCTGAGAGTGCAGAGATCCCTGATTCTGCAGCCACAGCTTGGGTGGATGCACCTGCACCTGGGAGGGCAGAGCTCCTGCCTGCTCCTGGTCTCCAAGTGTGCAGAGACGCCTGTGTCTGCAGCTGCTGCTGCTGGGTGGCCAAAGCTGCACCCAAGGAGCACAAAGCTCCAGCCCTGTCAACTCAGAAGGGAGCCAAGGTTTTCTCCTTTTCCCAGCACCCACTGGCTCCATGGAGCATACAGCCCTGGTTGTGCCTCCCCAACTGCAGCCAGCATCATAGCAGTGCCACTCTAGATGGACCACCACTGCCATCAGTACTTACAGCACATTAAACAAATTAATAGAACTTCGTTTGCTCTTTCTCTCCTTCTATAATATTAACAATAATAGCTAACAATAATTAAGCATATGTTAGGTTGTTAGATAAATTCTGAACACTTCATATATATTTTCTTATTTCAAAGTCACAACAGACTTTAAAAAAAAACAGAGAGTAGATTGGGCAAGGTGCTTCACAGCTATAATCTAAGCACTTTGGGAGGCTGAAGTGGAAGGATCTCTGGAGCTCAGGAGTTTGAGACCAGCCTGGGCAACATGGTGAAACCCCATCTCTACAAAAAGTACAAAAAATTAGCTGGTTGTGATGACACACACCTGGGAGGATCACCTGAGCTTGGCAAGGTCAAGGCTGCAGTGAGCCATGATTCCACCACTGCCCTCCAGCATGGGCAGAGTGAGAACCTGTCTTAAAAAAAGAAAAAGAAAAAATAGGCAATAAGAAGGTACTATTATTATCTTCACCAGGCAGATGAGAGCTTTGAGCCACAAAGAAGCTGAGAGACTCACATAAGTTAATAAATTGCCCAAGTGAATGGACAACAGTAAACTATGGAGACAAAGTTTGTGTCTTACTGCATTTTGTATATGTAATACCTAACTTAGAATGTGCTTGAATACGTGCATGCATAAATGAATGAATGGATAAACAAATGAAATACAATTCAATTACAATACAATGTGTCGCCTGGATCTTATTCTGCATTTATTCTTAATAAATGCATCAGATGATGATTATATCATTATTTTGGCTTAATTGGCTAGAATTTTTACCTGAACTTTGTAATGTGATATATATGTGAAATAACTTTGGGTAAATTGAGCAGATACTACACCACTTTTAAAATTGCAAAGTTGAAAATTGCATAATATTTATTATGAATCACCAAGCCCTACCTCATTAAAACTACTAAAGTATCATAATAATAATGAAAGTCATATGCTGCATTGTTCAAGAGAGCAGAAAGCTTACAAAAAGATGAATGACATAACATAGCAGTAATCTTATACAGGAAACAACACACAATTAGCTAAAAATTGTATAACGTGGTGCTAAATGGGGCATAGCTGAATACACTGTGCAAGTATTTAATGTGAGAGAAAAAATTATTATGTGAAAGTTGCGGACATTAAAAACTAATATTTCTACTTAAAATTCCTTTTTCTATCCCTCTGCCACCTAGTAATCTGCCAAGTAGAGGTGTTGGAGAGGAAAAAAAAAAGGTGAGGCAGTTTGTGCACAGAATTTAATCATAGACAAAAGTGCATTTAGACTTTCTCTGAAATTTCCTTTGTGGGTAATTTTCTTGGTGCTTACAAGAGAAAACAAGTGACAGACATTGTGAGGGTTGTGGACACATTTGGAATTTAATGTTAGAACATAAAAACTTTGCAATGTCTAATCAACCTGCCAAATATAAGCCTTGTTACTCAAGAGGTGTCCTGTAGTATCTGTCATTTTTCTATAACGTTATTTGTCTATTTCTTGTGGGCCAAATTTGTAACCTTTATCCCTAAACTGATTAAATAGAAATGAGAACTTAAAAATAGCAGGATTTAAGCATAATAAGTGGAAACAAAATTTTACTCATTTGCACACACGGTCTAAATAATTAATGCTAGTTTCTCCATGGTGTAATGAATATTTATTTGTTGCTTCCATCATATTCATTCTTCCTTACTTATCTCACCAAGAGGACCATGGTTTCTCTTTTGGATGTACCCCTTTCTTTATCTGCCAATTGGCTTAGGTAGAATTAACTCCAATCATGTTCCAGGAGTAGGCAATGATTAGCCTGCACAATTGTATTCTATTTCTTCACCCTAGCCTGGGGTTATATACAAATCACAGCCCATGTGTTGTGAGATGTTTGTTTAGACTTCAGAGAAAATAGAACTTTGTCTGTAGATACCATAATTAGAGCAATTGGATTTTTTGAGCCAATAAATTATCTTTATTTTTTAAGCCAATTTTAGTTCAGACTTTTACTTGAAACATAGATTTCCGGATGACAGCTATGGGCAATCTGAATGAATGTCATATACAAAGAACAGAAAACTAGTTAATAGGAACCTAAGTGAAGATCACATATTAGGTGAAAAGCAGCTTGATATTTTAAATTCTGATTATTAACTCAGAAATATATCAATTTAATTAGATTACATGTAGTATAGTATATAGATGCCTTAATATTATAGAAGGAAACACTAGTGGTCTACCCTGGCATTGAATGAAATAACTTTTTGTCTTAAGTTTGCAGGACACCCTTCCCTTTATTTAGATATACACATTTTGTGAGTCATCTTACACCTGTGTAATAATCTGTATGTTTCCACATGATTTTTCTCTCTAAAACAGATACAACAGGAATGATAGAATCTCTGGCTAGTTGTCTTTGTTAGTTAAGAAATTTTGGCTGCAAGTAAAAGAAATCAAATTCAAAATAGATTTATTATGTTATATAACAGATTGGATGTTTCCAGGTTTGAGTTATTCACTGGCTCAATTGTATGATAAGTGACCCAAGTCTTCTTATTTTTTCTTTCTGCCAGCTTCAGAGTGTTGGCTTTTCTTAGGTTTGCTTCTCTCATGGCCCCAGTATGGCTTGTGGCAATTCCAAGTATCTTGTGCAGACGATTTCACCCAGAGACCGGAGTGGAAGTTTCTCTTTATGAATCTCTTTTTAAAAGTCGAGAAAACTCTAACCTCTTAGTAGAATCACATTGTGCAAAATGACATCGCATACTTGTTTCTAAACCAATCACTGGAGAGAAAAAATAAATTATCTTGATTGGCATAAACACACATTCACTCTCCACTTCTGAGAAGGAGAAGGCTGAGAAGAAGCTTCTTCCCTTATTAGTGGCTGAATGGAAAGGAACTGATTTTATAGAATTAGAATTCTGCCTGTAGGGAACATGGAGAGATAGAGAAAATAGATTTGTGTGTTTGTATTGGGGGTTTTGGCCTACTTGGTAGAGATAATTTGAACCTAATTTCTCTCCAATTCTATGGGAACAGCCTAAGTCTAATTTCCTTTGGTAAATGCCTGTCACTTGCCTCTGAAACAGAAAAGAAGCAAGCTTTTTGGGATAGGTTTGTTACACACCTGTACTTTCCTGGGAAACACAAAAATGCAATGCTGCCAGAGTATTTGTGGCTTTAATGCAACCATACTCTAACTTAGCTTCTTTTGGATGGATTGACAGAAATGGTGCTAGAGGCTTAGCCTGAGAAATCATGATTAATCAATTGATTAGCAAATAGCAAATTCCATTTTGCAACTGGCCAATTACCTGACCCAACAAATTCCTGCATATTTCCTTATCTCTCCTGATGAATGGGGCAGTTATTTGCATATATAAATATAATTAACTTGTGTTTGAATCATTGTGCCTCCTTTGCTAGGCAGCACTCACAAATTAGATATTTCTCAGAAGCTTGTTGAAGCTTAGAAAACATTGTGCTAACACTTTAAAAATACTGAATGAGAATTTATCTAAATAAAATATGATTCAATTTTATTATACCTATTGATATTTCTTGTCCTTGGTTGGAAAATGGCTATGCCCCCCAAGGTAATTTTAAGGGGAAGAGATTACAAACCCTATTAAATATAGCCTGTCCTTGGCATTCTTATGGCTGTCATATATTATAGTAGGAATATTTCTCAAGTAAATGTAGTTAAGATCAGATTTTTATCAATATGTATGCACTTAAAACAAAATTGACTTGGTATTCTGGCTGCAGATTTTGCTGATGTACCTGGAATAATTATATCTACTTGTTTATTCAATTTTAAATTTGATTAGAAAGTGCCTAATATTCCCCTTTCAAACTTGCAGGGTTATATCCTAAGTTCTTTCAGAGAAGTAGTAGATAAAGGACAGTGAACTAGCCTTAAGTAATTCACCTGGTTAGGTTTGTTGAGTGTAGAGGGCCAAGGGATGTCCTTTCACCTACGCAACTCCTGTTCACAGGAACTAGGCTACTTGCTGCTTATAGAAATTGACCAGTGGAAAAGAAATCTATATTCAAAATGCTGTACATCTTTATTTTGTGTCTTCTTGACTCCTTTTTGTGACCCTTAATGCTCGTATTTACCCTATTTTGAATTGCGTGATCAAGAACAGATCTTTACAAACTTTGGTGTGTATACAAATCCCTTGATGATTTTGCTGAAACGAATTCTAATTCAGTAGGTCTTGATGTGTCCCGAGAGTCTGCATTTCTAACAAGCTCCCAGATATTGCTGGCGATGCTGGTCCATGTATTATACTTTGAGTAGCAAGGAGCTAGCATTCCCTTACCGTTCTTTTTTTCATTTAGTTCTAATAGTTCCTCTTACCACTCCCTCAAAGTCTTGGTGAATGAGTAATTATTATTTTAGGCATTAGAGGTGGAGCTTAATTAATGCTTTGATTTATTGAGCTTTTCTGTATTTTTATTTGGCAGTGATTTATGTATAGTTAGATATAGAGACTTATTTTTGCCCAGTAAAGCACTGTTACTAAATGTTTGTTCATATCCTGTTGTTTACTCTTTTCCCCAAAAAGAAACAATCCAAACAACAAAGAATAAAAAGGATATTATAAATGGAGAGTGTAGACACTGTGTTGTAGTAACTCTCAATCCTGTTTTGTGCTCTAGAGAAATTAAAAATAAGACTTCTAAATAAAATACAGGATGTCCTCTTAAATTTGAATTTTAGAGAAGCAATGATGGGACATATTAGGATGTCCCATACAATATTTGGGACATATTATATCATTTGTTTGTTGGTAACAATAACTAGATTGCATTAATTGGCTTAAACTCATTTGGTCCAACTCAAAATCTAAATCATCTTCATCTAAGCCTAGAATGTGGGCTGCTTGAAACATGGAAACTTCAATTGGCTGTCACGTGAATCCTTAACTTTCAAGGAGCACGTTTCTGTTCTCTCAAGGCAAACAAATGAATTTAACAATTTCCTCTTTTACTTGTCCTCCAGTTCCTCGGGACTTAATTTGTGGTTGAAACAAATTCTCAGTTGAAACAGTGATATATATCAAATCCTCCTAGGATTAGCTATATCTACATATACTCTGGGCTATGACTTAAACTTCCACAATAGGAGAATCCAAGTATTTGGGGGAAATTCATAAGCTCCTTGTAGTGTTTAGAGAAATCTTTAAAAAATTATCTACTTGTCTCTGATTTTTTTTTCCCTCAGAAACATCTATGAGTTTCAAGAGTATGTGTGGAATTTTGACACTTGGAGAAATAACTTTTCATTTACCCACCTAGGTCCAAGTGTTTGGGGGATGTGAATTAACTGATAATAGACAGATTCACAGGAGAAAAATGCATTACCTATGTTGGAGTATTTGTCAGCAAGTAACTGGAAGAATAGCCTAAGGTAAGAGTTTATATATTAGTTTCACAAAAGGGGATAGAGTTAGGACTTCAACTGGAAATTACTAAAGTTCTCTTGGGCCTTTTCATCCTGATGTTAAGGGTAGTCTCCCTAGCTAGATGCTCCCCTAGAGCTGGACAGGTGAATTACAACATGCTAGGGATCAATCTTCTTCCAAACTGGAAACTTCCTTATAGGAGTGGCATTAATGGTAGCAGTATTTTAAGGAGAATCTGCCTTGGTCAAATACGGGAAGCAGCTGAGATAAGATTTGTCTTCTAATCCCTTCAGTGATCTTCCACTATGAGCAACTCATAAAGGTTATAGGATGATGATAAAAAAATATTTTAGGCTTTGAATCTTAGTAAGTAAAGAAAGAATTCCAGAAGTTTGTCATTATGTAGTATCAAAGACACTGTGTGGAACATAACTTTACGGAAGAATTATAGGACAAAGAAAAGGTTGGAAGAAAATGTTTTCTCTCTTCACTTCAGTGTGAATTCATGAGGCTTTAAGGGAGCATAGCAGGTGTGAGGGACTAGATAATGGATATATTTTGAATGAAAACCCAGATGGCCCTAAATAGACACTTACAGCTGTATGCTATTTTATTTCTATCTCTAACATTCCATGGTTTTCAGCACTTAGAATTTATGAAGTTAAGTAGATTAACACATAGTTATTTCATCTATAATTAAATTTGAATGGAGATTCCTTCTAATTATAAGGATCCTCAGGTATTAAGGAATATCGGAGGCAAGAAGGAGTAGAAAAAGACTTGGGTATAAAATTTAACTTAAAACATTTTTTTCTTTTAAAATATAGTTTATTTATTCTTCATTGCCTTGCACCAAACTCCTAGGAGAAGCTTTGGCAACAATTATGAAGCAATACATACTATTCCCAGTACCACTGTGTTATCATAAAAAAGATTCTTTGTTTATAATGTAAGCTAGTACTTTCACATAAATGCTCGCTCTTCCCTAGTAGCATAAAAATATGTTTTAGCATATTTCTTGTAGCATGTAGATGATATTGGAGGAGCATAAATGAGCAAGGATGTCTTGGAAGCATAGGGGAGGAAAGGTATCTTGCTCTTCTACCACTTTTAGGTTTGTTGACTGGGGCCTTTATAACAAAAGAAAAATTAATAAGAAAAAGCATGCACGTTTATGTAATTCAAGTTTTACCTGACATGGGAGCTGATATGGTTTGGTTCTTTCTCCCTACTTAAATCTCATGTTGAATCGTAAACCCCAGTGTTGGAGGAGGGGCCTGGTGGGAGGAGATTGGATAATGGGGGCAGAGTTCTCATGAACGATTTAGTACCATCCTCCCTTGGTACTGTATAGTGAGTGAGTTCTCACAAGATCTGGTTGTTTAAAAGTGTGTGGCACCTCTCCCTTCCCTCTCTTTCTCCTGTCCAGCCATGTAAGACATGCTTGCTTCTCCTTCACCTTCCACCTTGATTATAAGTGTCCTAAGGAAATCCCCAGAAGCAGAAGCTGCTATGCTTCCTGTAGAGCTTGCAGAACAATGAGTCAATTAAGCCAGTTTTCTTTTAAATTACCCAGTCTCAGGTATTTCTTTATAGCAATATGAGAACAGCTTAATACAGGAGCCTTCATCAGGAAATAAAGACCTGAAGAAGCACTTGAACCTTAGTGTTTTTATGCTAGGTTTTCTGAAGAGTGGAGAGTCATGGAGAAATCACAGCAAAAAGGGTTTGAGTTAAATGAAATAAAATGGAGAAACTTAGCAACATCTGTTTGTTCAGATTTCTCTCTGTGTTCTGTTAATCTTCAGGATGAAGAGAAGGACACTCCTCTTCTCTAGGTTTAGAGAGGACCCTTCCCCGAAGTGAAGAGAGAAAATTAATAAGTGTATTAATCAGGAATCATTTTGTCTGTTATAGTGCTATTGATTCATTTAAATGTGTTCTGTCTTGATTACACTACATGTAGCTGTGAATAAACATAGTTTCTCATTTCAAATGATTTTGCCTCATATAACAAGAAATCAGGATTACATGCTGACAAGAATAGTTTATTATTTCTTAAGCTAACCCATGGTTATGGTCCACAGAGCAAGAGTGAACAGAACACTGACTAATGGAATTGCTAATGGTTCCTTCCTACTGAGGCCATTAATCATAACAAAGGTAAGTATATTGTCTACCATTGCTTTATTAAGCAATTGCTGCTGGGTCTTATTTACTTCATTTCATTTGTAGACACATCGGACTTCTGGGTCTCGCTGTTGTAACGAGAACCTGGAATAGCTGTGAGAAGAGTCTGCTTTATCAGGTTTTCTTCTTTTACTTTAAGTGTCTTTCTGATTTTTCATTCTGAAAGGCATGTGTTATATAGAGTAGCCCACTGCCACGATTCAGGAGTTTTAAAAACTACTGAGGCCATTCGTAGAGATTCCAATTTAATTGAATTAGGGTACAACCAAGAATCAGAACTATTGAAAGTTCCCCAAGTGATTCTAGTGGTACAGCTGAAGTTGAGAATCAATTTGTAACTGTCCGAGGCGTTCTTCCTTCTCACTGCATAAAGAAAGACCACAGCATTGCAGTAAAGAAAGAGTTTAATAGACACAAGGCTGGCCACACCGTGTGGGAGTTGGAGTTAGTACTCAAATTATATCCTTTGAAGCTAGTAGGTTAAGGATTATTCAAAGGCATAGCAGGTTGAAGCTGTCCTTCTGTGGGCTGAATTACCTCTGAGTGGGGCTGCAGGAGTGTGGTTGGCAGGTCCAGGTAGAACTGTGGATGTCAGACATTCGAAAAACCTGAAAAGCCATCTCAAAAGGCCAATCTGCAAGAGTGGTGTTGTTTGAAGGAGTAATTGGGGAAATTGCATATCTTATAACCTCTGGGATAGTTGCTGGCAATCACTTATGTCTGCGCCTTAGCAGGACATAGGCTTCTTTTCTCCAAGACTGGTGGCCTCCCATTAGCTTTATAAAGGCAGTTGAGTTTTGGGGGAGGCCTATTTTGTCTCTCGAACTTAGCCCAATAGCCCAGGAATAATTAAGGGAAAGGCAAGATGGTAGGTGGATTAGTTCACATCTCTTTCATTATCATAATTTTCTCAATGATATAATTTTTGCAAAGGCGGTCAACTTGATGGTTAAGAACACAGGCTCTGAAAAATCTATTTAACCTTTCACCTACCCAGTTTCCTCTGCTGTTAAATGGGGAAAATAATTATAAAAACTAATTTATAGGCTATGGGAGGATTTAGTGAGTTACTATATGTAAAGCACTTATATTTTTGGTGGTGGGTATTCAAGTTACTGGCAACAAATCTGTACAGTTCTACAGCAAGCTCAATTCTTGTGTCCCTAGAAGAAAGAATTCAACTGAGGACAAAAGGCAGAAGGAGAGATCAAGACAAGGTTTAGAGTAAGAGTGAAAGTTTATTAAAAAGCTTTAGAGCAGGAATGAAGAGAAAGTAAAGTACACTTGGAAGAGGGCCAAGTGGGCATCTTGGAGGACAAATGTAGGGTTTCCCCTTTTGACTTGTGGTTTTATATGTTGGCATACATCTGGAATCTTGCATCCCTTTTCCCTTGATTTTTCCCTTTCAGTGGGCTGCCTACATGTGCAGTGGCCTGCTATCACTTGGGAGGTGAGCATGCGCAGTGTGTTTACTGGAGTTTTATGCATGCTCACCTGATGCATTCTTCCCTTTACTAGTGGGATGTCTTTGAAAAGTCATATACCAGTTAAACTCTGCCATTTTGCCTCTCAATGCACATGCTTGAGCCCACTTGCCCTACTCCTGAGATCTTATTGGGAAGCTGCTGATCACCAGTTTCAGGTAGGTGTTTCTATCTATTGGGAAACTGCCTTTCTCTGATGTTGGCTGTGACCGTTATTATTTTAGAGAGACAGCTAACAACCACCTAACCAGTACCTGATGGTCGCCTGAAATTCCTGGTAGGTGGGTCCTCTCCTGCCCTGCTCACATCTGCCTATCTACTGTAACACTTAGATCTTTGTCTAGCACATAAGTGTAGACAACTGTAGTTGTTTGGTAGATAAATCCATTGTAATAGTAGCCAACCTTCATTGAACATGTACTATGAGCTGAGCATCATTCTCAGTGCTTTTTATTGTTTTATTTAACCTTTATTACAATCTTATGAGAATGATACTGTTATTATTCCCATTTTACAAACAAGGAGACTGAAGCACTGAACTTCATGGAATTTTTCCTAAGGCCTAAAACTTCTTTTTTTTTTTTTTTTTGAGACGAAGTCTCACTCTGTCGCCCAGGCTGGAGTGCAGTGGCATGATCTCGGCTCACTGCAAGCCCTAGGCCTAAGACTTCTAAGTATTTCACAAAGATGCAATCTCAGGTGGTCTGAATTCAAAGCACATAATGAAAGCCATAAGTTGAAATGAAAATAAAATGTGCTCTGATAAGTATTAGGAAGTTAAATATTTCAAATATAATAAAATAAAAAATTAATATCAAGATTTTCTCTAAATGTGCCAAATAATGGCCATGTCTGTGTATAAGTGCCTCATTTACCTTATCTTTCTTGCCATGAAACAAGAATTTGCAAAATACTTATTGGCTTTTCACAGACAATTTCTTTCCAGACAATTGACTATATGTATTTACCATATTCCCACTTTCTCTTCCTTCTGTTATATTACTAGGGATATTTGCATGAAAATAATACTTCTTTTGAGATGAAGGTTTATTTTTTACCTTCCTTTTCTGAAGACATAATGATTTCTACAGTTGTGAGAATCCAAATAGAGGATTACATTTTTCTAGTTAGTAACAATACCAGAAATATTTATGATAACGTTTCTCTGCAAATGTTCATCCTCATATTTAAAGAAGGATAGTCCTGTGGAGTGGAGGAGGAGATGTTTATCACATTCTCTAGCTAAAGTGCTATTGTAACTGCTCTAGGCATATTTTCCAGGGACTGAAGCATTTATTTAAATTTGCCTAGGTTTCAGTCACAGCTCTGTCATTCCCTGTGTTTCATATTCAGTTTAGAGTAAGCACTTTTTGAAACTATTCCACTACATTTGGCTTGTTGGTTATGTTTGGGTCTCTGGCCAACACTCTCCCTTTCTACAGCTGTAATGATTTATTGACAATTTTTTTCCTCTTTGCCTGTGATCAAATTTTCAAAATCCCTATCTCAACAAATTTAAAGGAGTCTTAAAGCATTCTGATGCTCTTCAGGTTAGAGTTGGTCCTTGAATGGTGAACATTTATTTGACTTGTACACTTAGCACTTTTTTTTTTTTGTGGGGAGGGGCTGTGTCTCACTCTGTCATCCTCTGTCATCCAGGCTTGCGGGCAGTGGCACGATCAGCTTACTGTAACCTCAAACTCTTGGATTCAAGTGATCCTCCTGCCTCAGTCTCCTGCATAGCTGAGACTATAGGCACATGCCACCAGACCCAGCTAATTTTATTTTATATCTCATACAGATGGAGTCTTGCTTTGTTGCATGGGCTGGTCTTGAACTCCTGCCCCTCAAGTGATCCTCCTACCTAAACCTCCCAAAGTGGTGGTATTACAGGCCATCATGCCTGGCATTTTCATTTTCTATATTGAAACTTTTTGACTTTTATGTATTGACTCATGCAAAATAGATCAATTGTTCAATTTCAGCTGTGTTGGTTACATTACATTAATGTTTATTGCATCTTGCTTTGTTTTATTAAAGTGAAGGGAAAATGGAAAAGAAAATCAAACAGCTAATATTAACAGTACTATGATTGAAATAAAGAAGGAAAACATTGGGCATGTTGAATGTGGTGGATGTTAGCTTTAATCTTATGTGAAATCTTTATGTGAAAAAAACCATAAAATAAAAAGAACCATTTGAAATACTGGAAATATATAAAAAGATCTTGCCAAAAACTGATGGGGGTTGCATACTGATCTTCAGGCCATTTGGCACAGAGCTCTTCCTACCTGAGTGTAATCTTACGGATTGTTTCTTGAGCAGTTGCACATTTGGTTTGTGTACATTTTCACGAGGTAAAAAAAAACAACATCTAGGAGAGAGTACAGCTCTTAATACAAATTTACTGACTTTAGTTGACTGGTACTCAATAACCTGTCCATAAGACAAAAGCCTTTGAAGTTATTGCACAGAAAAACCCAAAAGATACTTATTAAGCAACAGCTGTGTCCAGAACCTTGATGTCCAGGGTCAACATGTGAATGGGAAGAGTAAGAGTGGCCGTATAGTTTATTATAAAACAATCTAGATCAGAGATTTCTTTACAAAATGTTACTCAACACTATTTTCTGCCATTGCATATCCTTTCATTCATTTGCTCTAGTATGGATGCTACAATGAGGACAAAATATTTCCCATAGTGAAACAAATGCAATAATTTTCTCTCAAGACATTTCTATAGTATTTGAACTGATAAAATTAAAAATAAAAGACAGAAAACAAACAAAAAATCCCAAACACAAGAAATATTTCTACCAGCCTATAAAACATGTCACTACAATTTTGTTTTTTCCTATCAAAATTACATAGGGTCATCATAAGAGAAAATTCAAGCTATACACAAAATTATAAAACTAAAAATTGTCTAAAATCTTACCAGTTTTAATATTTGTTTTATAGCCTTCCAGATATGTCTCTTTATATACGTGCATATAGAAATACATATTAAAATGTAGATAATAATATTTTTAAAATTAAAATGTTAAGTTTAAGTTTACTTGAATTTGGCAGAAAAAAAAGAAATAGCATTGAGATTAATGAAGCTGGGCTAATTTTTCTTTCCAAAAAGATTAATTTTACTAAGTGGTTTTAATCATTGTGATTTCTAACTACAACTTTTAGCTTGAGGTAGCATCAATGAATTCTTTACTTTGGGAGAAGGAAAATAAGCATTCTCATACTTTCTCCTTTTTCTCCACCCCAAACCTTCCAGTATTTATTAGTTATGTTTTAAACTGTTAAAGTTTACAAAATTTACCATCTGTCCTGCAACTACAATTCCCCAGATGTTCAGTCACAAGAAAACATTTACTGGATTTAATGTTAACCACCAGACATTTTATTGTAATTTTTATTCCTTACATTTTATTTTTATTGATCCGTTGGTTAGCTGGATTGTATCAATTTTTTTTCTAAAAAAACAGTTCATGGGTGCTATAGTTCTAGAGTTCTATCATATTTGAGATGCATTGTCTGATACCTTTGTAGTTGAATGATAAGTTGTGTGGGTAGAATATTTTTGGGTGAGAGGTTTTTTCTCCTCCCAGAAGCTTGTGTTCATAACTCCTTTTTTTTTATATCACTGAATGTGGTTGTAGAGAAGCCTGAAGCCAGTCTGCTTTCTCTTCTTGCCAGTAATTTGCTTTCCTTGCTTATGCTCTTGAAGAATCATGTCCTTTATTTATGAAGTTTGATAATGCACCTAGTATATATTTTATGTGTGTTAATTACCAATTATTTTTCAATTATATTGCATATTCTTTATTTTTGGAAATAGGGTCTCATTCTATCGCCCTGGCTGGAGTGCAGTGGTGTCATCATAGGACTCGATGCAGCCTTGACCTCCTATGCTTAAACAGTCCTCCCTCAGCCTCCCAAGTAGCTGGAACTACCAGCATGCAATGCCACACCTGGATAATTAAAATCAATGTTTTTTTTTTTTTTTTTTTTTTTTAGTAGAGATTGGGTCTTGCTATGTTGACTAGTCTGGTCTCAAACACCTGGCCTAAAGTGATTCTCCAGCCTTGGGCTTTCAAAATACTGGGATTACAGACATGAGCCACTGCACCTGGCCTGCCTGCTTTTTTATGTAACACACTGAATTCCTCATTTAAGGAATGATTTTCTGCAATAAAGACACATGCGCACAAACACCCACGTACACAGAGGTCTTTGTCCTGCATGTGTATAATGTCTTTTGTAATTGCTTTAATCTTTGTCTTGTTTCTCTGCAAACACTATGTTCATATCAAGCCTTTTATCTATAACAGTAATTGCATTTTCAGACATGCCAGTTTGAGCTTTTCTAATTTATTTATTAGTTCTATAATTGCGTTACTTTGAATATTTTCTTATCTCAACTTTAATGAATTCTGTTCTTATAATTAAGTCATCTTTGATGTCTTTTTGAACTTTAAGTCTTTTATTGAAATATCATTATTCTAAAGTTCTTCTAGAATCTTAGCTTTTGTAGTGAGTGTGCTTCCGTTCCTTGGGCTAGGCACCACCCAACGCCTAATAAGTCCTTCATTTATATTTCCCTTCTCTTCCTTTCCTTCCTCCTTTCCATATCCTCTTTCTTCTCCCCTCTTCTACTTCTCCTTCTCATTCTTTGCCTTCTTTTTTCCCTCTTTCCTCCTTTCCTCACAAATCCCCACCAGACCTTATTCCTCATCTCACCATCCACATCTGGTATATTTGTTTGGTTGCCATGTCCTATCTTTTCTTCCCACCAAACTTTAATATGGACATCTCCAGATCTTCAGTTTGCCCTGATATAATCTCAGATACCTTTTCTTATTGTACTTTACCTTCCTTTTTTTTAAAAGTATCAATTTCTGTTTGGTGGTTTGAGCTACAGTTTGAGTTATTGGTATTGCTTTTCAAACATTTCTCTCTGGCTTATAGGTACGAAAATGGGAGAATGAAGCAACTCAACTAGGATAGATTCTGTCACAAATCCTGTTCCAGGATTCTTTACTCATCCAGAGATGCTTTTCACTCCAGTGGCCATCAGCTGGTGGCTCCAACCAACAGTTGCCAGATTTAGCAAATAAAAACATAGGGTGAGCAGTTAAATTTTAACTTCATATAAACATCCAATATATATTTTAGTATAAATATGCCCCTTGTAATGTTCAGAACATATACTAATGTCTGTTCAGCTATTGCTGAATAATTTATTTTTTGCTCTATTTGTCTTTGACTTTTTCTCTGGTTAAGTGTGTGTATACATACATACACACACATGCAGACATATATATGTATGTATGTGTCTGCTTTTGTATATTTATATATTTGTTGTTAATCTGCAATTAAAATTTAACTAGGTCTTCTGCATTTTATCTTGCAGTGTTATTTTAACTCAGCATACGTCCCTGGAAGATGACAAACTCTGGTTGCTTTTCTCGTTGTATCGAGGTCTTGGTGTGAATGTATTTTCTTGACTATGTGTAAGGTTATCTACTGATGCCTTGGTCCACCTTTCCCAATATAGAATTTATTAGTGAAAGTTTTCAGAATTTTATTTAATTCTATTTTAATTTCTACTTTTGGCAGTTTGGGGCTATCGTGGGGAAATAGTTAAAAGGTCGATCGAACCTTACTTCGGATAATATTCCAACTCTCTAGCTGGATACAGATTTTCAAATTTTTCTTTGTTCAGCTATTGCTGGATAATTTATTTTTGCTCTATTTGTCTTTAGCGTTTTCTCTTGTTAAGTGTTGGAAGGAGAGATTCTATATTTTTGATTCACCTTCCACTTTTATACATTTTGAAATTTTTGGTAAGTCTACCTAATATATTGGTTTCTTCCTTTGCTAAACTCTGAATCATATCATTTGCTCAATAAGAATTCCATGAACTACTATTAAAGTTCTCTGGAGGGGTTAGCTCTAAAGATTTTGGTCTAAAACAAAAGGATAGCATTTCATACTATGCCTCACTTTTAATAGATGTGAATTTTTATGAATTAATCAATCTGTCAATCCACAGAAAATCCTAAATTTCAATTCTGATGCTGTAGTGGTTAGTTTGTGTTAATTTTTTTTTTTATTAAAGTTTTAGGGTACATGTGCACATTGTGCAGGTTAGTTACATATGTATACATGTGCCATGCTGGTGCGCTGAACCCACCAACTCGTCATCTAGCATTAGGTATAACTCCCAATGCTATCCGTACCCCCTCCCCGCACCCCACAACATCCCCAGAGTGTGATATTCCCCTTCCTGTGTCCATGTGATTTCATTGTTCAATTCCCACCTATGAGTGAGAATATGCGGTGTTTGGTTTTTTGTTCTTGCGATAGTTTACAGAGAATGATGACTTCCAATTTCATCCATGTCCCTACAAAGGACATGAACTCATCCTTTTTTATGGCTGCATAATATTCCATGGTGTATATGTGCCACATTTTCTTAATCCAGTCTATCATTGATGGACATTTGGGTTGGTTCCAAGTCTTTGCTATTGTGAATAATGCCGCAATAAACATACGTGTGCATGTGTCCTTATAGCAGCATGATTTATAGTCCTTTGGGTATATACCCAGTAATGGGATGGCTGGATCAAATGGTACTTCCAGTTCTAGATCCCTGAGGAATCGCCACACTGACTTCCACAATGGTTGAACTAGTTTACAGTCCCACCAACAGTGTAAAAGTGTTCCTATTTCTCCACATCCTCTCCAGCACCTGTTGTTTCCTGACTTTTTAATGATTGCCATTCTAACTGGTGTGAGATGGCATCTCATTGTGGTTTTGATTTGCATTTCTCTGATGGCCAGTGATGATGAGCATTTTTTCATGTGTTTTTTGGCTGCATAAATGTCTTCTTTTGAGAAGTGTCTGTTCATGTCCTTCACCCACTTTTTGATGGGGTTGTTTGTTTTTTTCTTGTAAATTTGTTTGAGTTCATTGTAGATTCTGGATATTAGCCCTTTGTCAGATTAGTAGGTTGCAAAAAATTTCTCCCATTTTGTAGGTTGCCTGTTCACTCTGATGGTAGTTTCTTTTGCTGTGCAGAAGCTCTTTAGTTTAATGAGATCCCATTTGTCAATTTTGTCTTTTGTTGCCATTGCTTTTGGTGTTTTAGACATGAAGTCCTTGCCCATGCCTATGTCCTGAATGGTAAAGCCTAGGTTTTCTTCTAGGGTTTTTATGGTTTTAGGTCTAACGTTTAAGTCTTTAATCCATCTTGAATTGATTTTTGTATAAGGTGTAAGGAAGGGATCCAGTTTCAGCTTTCTACATATGGCTATCCAGTTTTCCCAGCACCATTTATTAAACAGGGAATCCTTTCCCCATTGCTTGTTTTTCTCAGGTTTGTCAAAGATCAGATAGTTGTAGATATGTGGCATTATTTCTGAGGGCTCTGTTCTGTTCCATTGATCTATATCTCTGTTTTGGTACCAGTACCATGCTGTTTTGGTTACTGTAGCCTTGTAGTATAGTTTGAAGTCAGGTAGTGTGATGCCTCCAGCTTTGTTCTTTTGGCTTAGGATTGACTTGGCGATGTGGGCTCTTTTTTGGTTCCATATGAACTTTAAAGTAGTTTTTTCCAATTCTGTGAAGAAAGGCATTGGTAGCTTGATGAAGATGGCATTGAATCTGTAAATTACATTCCCATTTTCACGATATTGATTCTTCCTACCCATGAGCATGGAATGTTCTTCCATTTGTTTGTATCCTCTTTTATTTCCTTGAGCAGTGGTTTGTAGTTCTCCTTGAAGAGGTCCTTCACATCCCTTGTAAGTTGGATTCCTAGGTATTTTATTCTCTTTGAAGCAATTGTGAATGAGAGTTCACTCATGATTTGGCTCTCTGTTTGTCTGTTGTTTGTGTATAAGAATGCTTGTGATTTTTGTACATTGATTTTGTATCCGGAGACTTTGCTGAAGTTGCTTATCAGCTTAAGGAGATTTTGGGCTGAGACAATGGGGTTTTCTAGATATACAATCATGTCGTCTGCAAACAGGGACAATTTGACTTCCTCTTTTCCTAATTGAATACCCTTTATTTCCTTCTCCTGCCTAATTGCCCTGGCCAGAACTTCCAACACTATGTTGAATAGGAGTGCTGAGAGAGGGCATCCCTGTCTTGTGCCAGTTTTCAAAGGGAATGCTTCCAGTTTTTCCCATTCAGTATGATATTGGCTGTGGGTTTGTCATAGAGAGCTCTTATTATTTTGAAATACGTCCCATCAATACCTAATTTATTGAGAGTTTTTAGCATGAAGAGTTGTTGAATTTTGTCAAAGGCCTTTTCTGCATCTATTGAGATAATCATGTGGTTTTTGTCTTTGGCTCTGTTTATATGCTGGATTACATTTATTGATTTGCATATATTGAACCAGCCTTGCATCCCAGGGATGAAGCCCACTTGATCATGGTGGATAAGCTTTTTGATGTGCTGCTGGATTCGTTTTGCCAGTATTTTATTGAGGATTTTTGCATCAATGTTCATCAAGGATATTGGTCTAAAATTCTCTTTTTTGGTTGTGTCTCTGCCTGGCTTTGGTATCAGAATGATGCTGGCCTCATAAAAAGAGTTAGGGAGGATTCCCTCTTTTTCTATTGATTGGAATAGTTTCAGAAGGAATGGTACCAGTTCCTCCTTGTACCTCTGGTAGAATTCGGCTGTGAATCCATCTGGTCCTGGACTGTTTTTGGTTGGTAAGCTATTGATTATTGCCACAATTTCAGAGCCTGTTATTGGTCTATTCAGAGATTCAACTTCTTCCTGGTTTAGTCTTGGGAGAGTGTATGTGTCGAGGAATTTATCCATTTCTTCTAGATTTTCTAGTTTATTTGCGTAGAGGTGTTTGCAGTATTCTCTGATGGTAGTTTGTATTTCTGTGGGATCGGTGGTGATATCCCCTTTATCATTTTTTATTGTGTCTATTTGATTCTTCTCTCTTTTTTTCTTTATTAGTCTTGCTAGCGGTCTACCAATTTTGTTGATCCTTTCAAAAAACCAGCTCCTGTATTCATTAATTTTTTGAAGGGTTTTTTGTGTCTCTATTTCCTTCAGTTCTGCTCTGATTTTAGTTATTTCTTGCCTTCTGCTAGCTTTTGAATGTGTTTGCTCTTGCTTTTCTAGTTCTTTTCATTGTGATGTTAGGGTGTCAATTTTGGATCTTTCCTGCTTTCTCTTGTGGGCATTTAGTGCTATGCATTTCCCTCTACACACTGCTTTGAATGTGTCCCAGAGATTCTGGTATGTTGTGTCTTTGTTCTCATTGGTTTCAAAGAACATCTTTATTTCTGCCTTCATTTCGTTATGTACCCAGTAGTCATTCAGGAGCAGGTTGTTCAGTTTCCATGTAGTTGAGCGTTTTTGAGTGAGATTCTCAATCCTGAGTTCTAGTTTGATTGCACTGTGGTCTGAGAGATAGTTTGTTATAATCTCTGTTCTTTTACATTTGCTGAGGAGAGCTTTACTTCCAAGTATGTGGTCAATTTTGGAATAGGTGTGGTGTGGTGCTGAAAAAAATGTATATTCTGTTGATTTGGGGTGGAGAGTTCTGTAGATGTCTATTAGGTCCACTTGGTGCAGAGCTGAGTTCAATTCCTGGGTATCCTTATTAACTTTCTGTCTCATTGATCTGTTTAATGTTGACAGTGGGGTGTTAAAGTCTCCCATTATTATTGTGTGGGAGTCTAAGTCTCTTTGTAGGTTGCTCAGGACTTGCTTTATGAATCTGGGTGCTCCTGTATTGGGTGCATATATATTTAGGATAGTTAGCTCTTCTTGTTGAATTGATCCCTTTACCATTATGTAATGGCCTTCTTTGTCTCTTTTGATCTTTGTTGGTTTAAAGTCTGTTTTATCAGAGACTAGGATTGCAACCTCTGCCTTTTTTTATTTTCCATTGGCTTGGTAGATCTTCCTCCATCCTTTTATTTTGAGCCTATGTGTATCTCTGCATGTGAGATGGGTTTCCTGAATACAGCACACTGATGGGTCTTGACTCTTTATCCAATTTGCCAGTCTGTGTCTTTTAATTGGAGCATTTAGTCCATTTACATTTAAAGTTAATATTGTTATGTGTGAATTTGATCCTGTCATTATGATGTTAGCTGGTTATTTTGCTCGTTAGTTGATGCAGTTTCTTCCTAGTCTGGATGGTCTTTACATTTTGGCATGATTTTGCAGCAGCTGGTACCGGTTGTTCCTTTCCATGTTTAGTGCTTCCTTCAGGAGCTCTTTTAGGGCAGGCCTGGTGGTGACAAAATCTCTCAGCATTTGCTTATCTGTAAAGTATTTTATTTCTCCTTCGCTTATGAAGCTTAGTTTGGCTGGATATGAAATTCTGGGTTGAAAATTCTTTTCTTTAAGAATGTTGAATATTGGCCCCCACTCTCTTCTGGCTTGTAGGGTTTCTGCCGAGAGATCCGCTGTTAGTCTGATGGGCTTCCCTTTGAGGGTAACCCGACCTTTCTCTCTGGCTGCCCTTAACATTTTTTCCTTCATTTCAACTTTGGTGAATCTGACAATTATGTGTCTTGGAGTTGCTCTTCTCGAGGAGTATCTTTGTGGTGTTCTCTGTATTTCCTGAATCTGAACGTTGGCCTGCCTTGCTAGATTGGGGAAGTTCTCCTGGATAATATGCTGTAGTATGTTTTCCAACTTGGTTCCATTCTCCCCATTGCTTTCAGGTACCCCAGTCAGATGTAGATTTGGTCTTTTCACATAGTCCCATATTTCTTGGAGGCTTTGCTCATTTCTTTTTATTCTTTTTTCTCTAAACTTCCCTTCTCGCTTCATTTCATTCATTTCATCTTCCATCGCTGATACCCTTTCCTCCAGTTGATCGCATCGGCTCCTGAGGCTTCTGCATTCTTCACGTAGTTCTCGAGCCTTGGTTTTCAGCTCCATCAGCTCCTTTAAGCACTTCTCTGTATTGGTTATTCTAGTTATACATTCTTCTAAATTTTTTTCAGAGTTTTCAACTTCTTTGCCTTTGGTTTGAATGTCCTCCCGTAGCGCAGAGTAATTTGATCGTCTGAAACCTTCTTCTCTCACCTCGTCAAAGTCATTCTCCATCCAGCTTTGTTCTGTTGCTGGTGAGGAACTGCATTCCTTTGGAGGAGGAGAGGCACTCTGCTTTTTAGAGTTTCCAGTTTTTCTGTTCTGTTTTTTCCCCATCTTTGTGGTTTTATCTACTTTTGGTCTTTGATGATGGTGATGTAGAGATGGGTTTTTGGTGTGGATGTCCTTTCTGTTTGTTAGTTTTCCTTCTAATAGACAGGACCCTCAGCTGCAGGTCTGTTGGAATACCCTGCCTTGTGAGGTGTCAGTGTGCCCCTGCTGGGGGGTGCCTCCCAGTTAGGCTGCTCGGGGGTCAGGGGTCAGGGACCCACTTGAGGAGGCAGTCTGCCCCTTCTCAGATCTCCAGCTGCGTGCTGGGAGAACCACTGCTCTCTTCAAAGCTGTCAGACAGGGACATTTAAGTCTGCAGCGGTTACTGCTGTCTTTTTGTTTGTCTGTGCCCTGCCCCCAGAGGTGGAGCCTACAGAGGCAGGCAGGCCTCCTTGAGCTGTGGTGGGCTCCACCCAGTTGGAGCTGCTTTGTCTACCTAATCAAGCCTGGGCAATGGCAGGCGCCCCTCCCCCAGCCTCGCTTTCGCCTTGCAGTTTGATCTCAGACTGCTGTGCTAGCAATCAGCGAGATTCCGTGGGCGTAGGACCCTCTGAGCCAGGTGTGGGATATAATCTCGTGGTGTGCTGTTTTTCAAGCCCATCGGAAAAGCGCAGTATTCGGGTGGGAGTGACTCGATTTTCCAGGTGTCGTCCGTCACCCCTTTCTTTGACTCGGAAAGGGAACTCCCTGACCCCTTGTGCTTCCCAAGGGAGGCAATGCCTCGCCCTGCTTCGGCTCGCACACGGTGCGCGCACCCACTGACCTGCGCCCGCTATCTGGCACTCCCTAGTGAGATGAACCCCGTACCTCAGATGGAAATGCAGAAATCACTGTCTTCTACATCGCTCACGCTGGGAGCTGTAGACTGGAGCTGTTCCTATTTGGCCATCTTGGTTCCTCCCCCAAAAAGCCAGTTTGTGTTAATTTGATTAGGTCACATGATCCAGATAGTCAAACATTATTCTAAATGTATTCGTGAAGGCCTTTTTTAGATAAGATTAACATTCAGATGAGTAAACTTTGAGTAAAGCAGGTTATCCTTCATAATTTGAATACCCATATCTAAGTAGTTGAAGGCCTTAATAGAACAAAGACTGACCTTCCTTGAACAAGAAGGAATTCTACCAGAAAATGGTCTTTTGATTCAAACTGCAACTCTTCCCTGGATTTTTAACCTGCTGGTCTACCCTGTGGATTTTGGATTGCCAATTTCCATAATCATATGAGCCAATTCCTTAAAATCTCCCTCTCTCTGTATCTCTCTCTCTCTCTCTCTCTCTCTCTCTCTCTATCTATCTATATACCTACCTACGTACCTACTATCTGTCTCTATTTGCATACACATACACATATCCTATTGGTTCTGTTTCTTTGGAGAACCCTGACTAATACAGATGTATAATCTAATCCTTGGCCCTTAATTTTATATATATATATATATATATATATATATATATATATATATATTATTGTTCTCTAATGTGTATTTTGTCTTAGCCTTTGGTAATGAGCATCCTGAGGCTTTGAATTTTTTTCACGATTTTGTCCTCCATAATGCCTGACACAGCAGCAGTCCCCAACCACTTTGGTACAAGGGGTCAATTTTGTTGAACACAATTTTTCCATGGATGTGGGGGTGGGAGGGCAGGGAGATGATTTTGGGATGAAACTGTTCCACCTCACAGCATCAGGCATTAGATTTTCCTAACGAATGCGCAGGCTAGATCCCTCCCATGCACAGTTCACAATTCACACTCCTGTGAGAATCTAATGCCACCTGACAGGAGGCAGAGCTCAGGTGGTAATGCTCCCCTTACATGCCGCTCACCTCCTGCTGTGTGGCCCAGTTCCTAATAGGCCTCACATCAGTACCAGTCCATAGCCTGGGGGTTGTAGAGATGTGTAAATTCAAGAAGATAGATTGTTTTAAAAAATCGGTGTTCTTAGTAGAAATATTGCCTTTGTTTTTATTCTAGGTTTTTAATTGAAAGCTGGAATACAGAAAGAATAATAAACACTGGAGTTTAAAACAGTGGGTTGATATGATAAGGAAAGTTTTGTTGTTGTTTGTTCTCCCTACCATCAAATAATTTTTCTTTATGCTTAAGTTTTGAAGGATTATTAAGAATTTGCTGTTTGAAAAGATGAGTAATGCATTTTGCATAGTGAAAATAGCACATATGCATCACAGGGTAGTAAAATAGAGACAATCGTGTAAACTTGGTGCCTAGAGAAATATTTTTCAGACTTGCCTGACAGCCACCTGCACCAGAATCCCACAGGGTAAACTGTGGGATTTAAAAATGTAATTTTGAGGGCCTCATTTTAGACCTATTCAGTCACAGTTTTAGAATGCACCAGCCAGGGTTTGGTATAAAAATAAACAAATAAATAAACAAAACCTCAGGAGATTCAGGTGAGAGTGGTTTGTATATATTCTCAGGTTTGAGAACCACTGCATTAGATTTTTGAGATTATTAGAATGCTTTGGAGGGAGCCAGGTTATGCAGAGCTTAGTTTGCCACGGTCAGCAATGTGGACTTTGTCCTGTGGGCTGTAAAAATCTATGGCAAAGGTCTCAACAGATAAAGATTTTCACCAAATTTGCCTTTTGAAAGATCACTGAGCTAGGCATGCCAATGGACAGCTGGAGGTTTTTCTCAGGCTTTTGGTCCTTCGATGTGTCTGTTTCCTTTTGTGTTTTTTTTTCTATATTAAAAAAATGCACAATGTTCAAATATATATTCATTTTATAATAAAATACTAAATGAAAACTTTGTGCTAAATTATCCTCATTTTAAATGCCATAATAGACACGGAACCAGAAACAAATGAGCTTGATGAAGCATGAGGTAAGAAGAAGACTCTCAGGCAAGGCAAAGTTACCTGAAACAATTCCTCAAATAGTCTGCCATTACCACAGCTAGGGAAGAAGATCCATTTTATGATTTTGTCGAAAAAGATATTATTCTGACTCTTGTTAAATGGTAAGGCAAACTATTCAGGACTATTGAGGTATGTACAGGGACTCCTGCAAGGGGATTTTGCAGTAGGCAAGAGAAATTGGACTCAACTTCAGAACAGCAGGGAAACTGGGGATTTATAGCTATGGAGCAGAGTGGGTGTGTCGGTGAAAAGAAAATTACTAAAAGGAAACATGAAGAGAAGGAGGAATTCTGGGTCAACTGACTTGACAATTCCCACTAACACTTGGCTCTTAAAGACATGTCCAATGGGCCCGCCTACAGCTTGGTTAAGGAGGGCATCTTTGTCAACATGTGAAGAAGCATTTAGTTAGTTATACAATTGAAAAAGTGGAAAGTGATAGAATGGGAACCAAGGGTGGCCAAAGGAAAGTTAAGAAATTTTCTAAAATGTAACTAAAAATATGAGCTGGAGAAAATGCAAAGAAAAAAAAGACCAAAAAAAGCCCTGATTGGATTCCACGTAGCTAAACCTTTTATTTTTCTTAATTTTACTATTTTTTCTAATGAGCAGTTGGCCTACTTCCTTCAAAGACTATTCTATTTGTTTCTTTCCAAGTTGGAAATAACATTCATGAAGGCAATAACAGGAACAGGCATAGAAACAATCAAGCTAGGAAAGGATGAACATTCTTTTGCTAAGTATTTATCAAGTTAGTGTGGCTGCTAGATAATAAGACAAGATGTAAAACCATGCTTTTTCACCCTCATCTAAACAAAGTGTGTTGCTATCATATTAATTATGTACTTGTATTCTTGAGGGAGTAGGATGTCAAAAGAACAAATATGTTTGAATTAGTAATAACTATTCGCAAACCACTGGAATCCCTCTCCGTAAAGTTAACTACATATTTAGATGTCAAATGCAATTTTTTCACTTTTTTATAATCAAAAGTCAGTGTTCTTCTGTAGGCTATTCCCTCTTGCACAATCAGTGCTGCTTATTTGATGTGATTGCTTTGCTTTGCCCTTCCCTAAGAACTAAATGATTAATTGGCAGTGTGATCTATTGGCCATTATTTTTCTAAATTTTCTTATAAATAGCTCTTACCAAATATCTAAGCATTACAGAATTTAGTACATTCACAGAGATAGAAATACCTAACAATATTGGCTGAATCATAGCAACTCAAACACTAATCCCTGTTTATCAGATATGCTTGAAAAATCTAACTTCTAGCTCTAGTCAAATTTAGACAGCTATCTCCATCGGTAAACATTAATGTAAGAAGAAGTTATGAGTAACAAAAAAATAAACAGAAAGTGAAGGAAAAGAAACATGTGGAAGGTTGAAAATTAAAACTAAACCTAAAAATTAAGTAATGTATGATGGTCACAGAATCAGCCTTCTCTTTATCCTAGAGGGAGCTTTCTATGTATTTGTTATTTTAAAACTGACATTTCAATGTATACAGAATTGAACTAATTCCAAACATTGTTGGTAGGAAGAAAAATGGAAAATTGCACAAAATTATGTGTATATTCATTTCTTTGAATATTAATAGTAAATTTAAAACATAAACAAAAATTAGACTATGAGCAATTGTCTGCCAAACACAACAGTGACTTTTTTTGTGCAAAGAAACAATTTCAGCATCAGAGTCACCTTTTTATAAAAGTATTTTATGTTTAAGACAGCTTGCTGCATTTCAAACTGTACAAATGTGGAAAATGCTCCCCCATGTAAGCCTGTTGAAATCTTATTATATTGCATCCCCATCTTTCTTCATGTTGCACTGAACTTGTAGAGAGAGATGTATTCCTATCCACAGTGCAGCTTATATTTAATGCACTCCATAATTGAGTCTTTATTCCTTTCTTTGTAGGATTACTTATAATTGCAGAGGAACTCTCAGTCATTTTGTGTAGACCTAAAGAAGAAACCATGCATCCAATTGAATTAAGCAAAATGTGCAATGGCAAGAAAATTAAGTAGAGAAATTAAGCAGAAAATGGATAAAACATTTTATTAATGCTATGCATGCACTCTCAGTTTAGATCATTGTATAAATGACAAACTTAATGAGTAGCATCACACAAGTATGAGAAAATAAAATAATTGGCTGCTTTATTTAACACAGTCTTCTCCAGTAGACATCCATGCCTTTGGGCTAAAAAGTAAAAATTTGGGGGAAGGCTGGATCTCAAAGTGAAAGCAACATAACATCTTTATTATTCTATGTATGTGATGTTAGATTTGCTCCATGGCATTCTATAAATCTGTTGAAGGTCAAGACTGGGACTCTGCAGGCCTAAGTTTCAACAACCAGTTAAGAGAGCAATCCCTCTTTTCTGTGATTCCTTTGATCTACCTTTAGTGGTAGGTGTTTTGGAAGTTTCTCCCATTCCCACAAACTTGAGAAAAAAATAAGGCTTTGAGTTAAAACTTCTTGCTCTTCTTAATCAGTTTACTAAAAGGCGCAGATGGAATGAGTATTTCCTTTATTTGTTCACTTAACATAAGTTTATTGATGTGTACTATGTAGTAAGTACTATGCTGGGGACTGACAACATGGACATGAAAGACTTGCCCTCAAGTTGCTCACAGTCTAGTAACAGTAACTAAATTCTAGGTTGCAAATGTTATGATAAAGGGAAATACAAGATCAAAGACAGCACAAAGGCAGTTCAGGGAATCAGCTTCCACCTGGACTGCTGCTTTGGTCCTCTTTCTTAAAGCCAAATGATTATGCATCAATTTGCTAAAATTATAAATCCAGTGCCTCAAACAATACACATTTCTAGTGCTCAGTGTGTTGCTAATGGCTTCCATATTGGGCAGTGTAGAATTGGACGTTTTTTTTTTATCATCACAGGAGGCTCTTTTGAACAGCGCTTGTTTAGCTGTTAAAGCAAGGGTTTGAAGTCCAAGCAGAGCGCAAGATTTTGTTTGAGTTAAACTGCAAGGGTGATGAATTCTAGGCTGGTGAAGCAGCTAGTGTTAACAGGGCATTGTATAAAGAGAAGAGAGCTATGTAGAGAGATTATAAGATATGTCTGCATAAGAAAGAACTTCCTGAACACTAGTCTGCACTGAGTATACACACAGTAAGACTCCACAAAGATAGTGGCTACTGTGTGACTGAGATCTCAACAGACACTAGCGGTCATACCGTGCTGGGAGACATTAGAGTTAAATAGCAGTCAGAGTAATCTTGGTGAGAACCTCAAACATTCAATTGAGGCTATAGAAAATCCCCACCTTGACAGTAATGACAACACCCTGGAGGAAGGGATATGCTCTTAAGACTAAGGACAAAAATCAATGTAGCTCCATATTAATAAGCCTGAAATGCTGAACTTTTTAGTTGTGAAGTTTACTGATGCTTGCAACTCACCTTGAAATGTATCAACAAATGACATATGGATGGATAAACAGATGTAAAACCAAATCAATGTAGCAAAGTTTTGACAATTGTAAAAGATGGTGGTATATGAATTTTCACTCACATGAGCGGTATATGAGAGATTGTTGCCAAGAACTATCTCAAAATGATGGGATTTGAGTTTTCACTCATACTACCATCACTGTATAATTCTTTCATTATTTCTGTCTATACCAATTTTCTTAAAATATTGCCAGGGAAAAACAAAAAAAAAGTGTGAAAGTATAGAAAAGACTTGCTAGAACTAGTTCTGCTGGCCAGACTAAAACATAATACTTTTTAAATAAAGACAGTATAACAGATGCTCTAAATGTAGTATCTATATTGTCTAAGTATATGATAATAAATTCATAAGTATATGACAAAGCAGAAACATGTAACACAAAATACAACATAAGAAAAGCAGTAGTCAATATAAATAGATCCTGAGATGCTCCACCTGATAAAATTAGAAGACTAGAAATTTAAAACCCCATTGTAAACATATTTAAGAAATTCAAGGAAAAGAAAATGGGGAAAAAATGTCCATCACTATAGGAATAAATAAACTATTGTGTAATGTATTCATATATTGAAATGTTGTTACCAGCAATAGATATAACACCATGACTGAATCTCAAGAACATGATATTAAGGAAATAAACCATTCAAAAAAAGAGTACTAAATATGTGAGTCCTTTTATATAAAATCTGCAAACAAAGCCATTAAGATGGGCATTAAAACGGCGATTTCTTTTGGAATGTGAAGATTGACAGGAAAGGGCTATGAGAAAACTCTCTGGGATGATGGTACTATTCTATATCTTCACTGAAGTGTTGGCTTCACAGGTTTATACATGTATCAAGACCCATCAAATTGTGCACTTAATATCTGTGATTTCCAAATGTATATAAATTTTGTCACAGTAAAGTTAAAAAATTAATGCATGTATGTACAAATAATGGCAAGTAGAAAATTGACTGTTTTCTTGAAACTTATTTAGATAATGTTTCAACATTAAAATCAATAACAGTATTTCTCTAATTTTTTTTTTTTTTTTTTTGAGTCTGAGTCTCGCTCTGTCGCCCAGGCTGCAGTGCAGTGGCGTGATCTCGGCTCACTGCAAGCTCCGCCTCCTGGGTGCACGCCATTCTCCTGCCTCAGCCTCCTGAGTAGCTGGTACTACAGGTGCCCACCACCACACCCGGCTAATTTTTGTATTTTCTAGTAGAAACGGGGTTTCACCATGTTCTCGATCTCCTGACCTCATGATCCGCCTGCCTCCGCCTCCCAAAGTGCTGGGATTACAGGCGTGAGCCACCGCGCCCAGCCTCTTATCTCATATTTCTATTTAAATTTGTTACATTAAAATGACAAAGTAATCTATGAGGACAGATTCATACTGATTGAACATAACAGTGATATTAACATAACTGTATACTTATATACCTACAGAAAATACTAAGAACTTTACATGTGTTAATCCCTTACAACAACTTTAGAAAATAAATAATAATCTCTATTTTAGAGATTAAAAGACGAGGGTAGGGTGAGAGATAAATTATGTTGTTTAACGTCACACATCTAATAAGAAGTGGAGCAAAAATGAA
Source organism: Homo sapiens (assembly GCF_000001405.40). Taxonomy (NCBI): domain Eukaryota; kingdom Metazoa; phylum Chordata; class Mammalia; order Primates; family Hominidae; genus Homo; species Homo sapiens. The sequence continues at coordinate 37,253,773 of NC_000011.10, forward strand.
ATCTTAGCTGTTCTGATCCTCAAACCTATACTAATAACCTAGTAATTTTATGCTTTCTTTTTTTTAAGAAAGGCAGCCCTTTAATAAAATTGAATTTATTTTGTGAATATATATAGATTTTGTGAATATATATATATATATATATATTTTGTGAATATATAGAAGTGAAGACTTTGTATTCTTTATGTAGGGCAACCAGATTATTCAGCCAAATTTCATATCACATTTATTTCCAACCTGCTGAAGGCTTTAAGTGATATCTTTCTTTCTTGACATCTATGTAGCAGGACCACGGCTAGTATCTAAAGTGAGAGAAGACAACATAATACACATTCGATTAATGGTTAATTATAACAGTAGTAATGATATAAAACTATCAATGATAACAGTAAACTTCTGGGTAGAGATGACCATAAACATTTACTCAGAGGCCTATGCCAAGAGCTATCTCAAAGTGATTGGATTTGAATATTTTATTTTAATTATTTTATGATTTAACTAGGTTAAATTATAATCAAATTGAACTATTTTATGTCTTTTTAAATTCAATTGGAGCTCCATTTTCTTTAAATATTGCAGTGTTTAAAAAGATGTTATGCAGTATTGCTCTGGCCCTAAATCTTTTCTATTCTCTCTCCTCTAATTCTCTCTGAAAAAGGTTAATATGTTTGTAATTGGAGTATCTTTGGTGAAAAATCATCTCAAAATTTCTTATCTTCCTCCAGGACTTGACAAAAAGTGAAAATTTCCAGAGACATCATTTAAATTCTTTGAGATTTAATTCATATAGAAAATGTTCTCAATAGAACATGTAGCTGGTCCTAAGCATATTTTACCTGTGTGATTCTCTTCCAATAGTTACACAGAGCTAGTTTATACAAAGTAGTTAAATATTCACCTAAAACGTAAAGGGTTAAGCTGAGAACACATCTTTAAATGGCAGGAAAATTTTGATAATTTTCTCAAAGAAACTTGTTCCCAAATTCCATAACTTCCTCTTCTGATGTTATATTGGGAAAATTATTTAATCTTTTAAAGTTTCAATTTCCTTTTTTTGAAAAATTTGGAACCAGCATTAAAGGGTTTGTGTGAGGATTGTCAGGTAAAACGTGTGACATAGTTGATGGTGAATGGAATTTGTTACTAAATAGTAAAATATGCCATGACATTTTATTCCTATTACAGAAACAGAGGAATACCATGTTAAAGGATATAAAATTCAACCTAGAAACCTAGGCACTAACTGTGTTATAATTTTGTACCTTAAAAGCTCATGAGAACTTCTGTATTTCCACATATGTCAAGTACCAACTTTTTTGCTTGACTTTTATAACTCGCCGTACTTTACTCCCTCTCTATATATCTGCTGTCATTTTTTTAACCTCCCCAAAAAACTCCAGGATGCCTATCATTCTATTCAAGTCAAAAATATTCTCCAATTTTCTTTTATTTATCCATTTACTAAAAGTGAATCAGTTTATTGATTTATTCATCTGTATATTTATCAACAGATTTTTATCAAAGCTATTTTAATCCAGCAACTCCACTAAGCAGGATGAATAAAAAGGTGAAATAGATAAAACTTACTTTTTGTTTTCCTGGAGCTGACACTATAAAAGTGGAAAGAAATAGCAAAAAAGGTCTTAAATAATTAAACATAGTCATGCTAGAAGGAGAAATGCAAGGTGTTCTCAGTGTAAACACCAAAGCAAATAAACACAACATTAGGACTGGCCATGTAATTTCAAGGGCTCCATGCAAAATAAAACTTCAGCCTCTTATTCAAAAATTACTAAGAATTTGAAGATGATGACAATGGAACAAGTACAGGACTTGGAAATGTAAAGGTTGTATGGCCAGGAAGCCAGTTCTGCATACTATAGAGGACCAGGGACAGCTTTCATGTGGAAGTGTTCATTTCACCCGACACCTAAAGGATGAAGGGGGGTTAGGTCGAACATTTCAGACTTGCATTTTCATTTGTCATTTCCCTTTGGCGATAATGTACTGTCCAGAGCTACGAGCCTGATGTGTTAATACCAATGGATGATTCAGCTTTTTCTATCTTGCTTTGGCTGTTTGTGAAAGATGGATAGTTATCCTGCTAGGTCAAGTTTTATCACATGTATGAATCAAAAAGCAAAAATTAAGGCTAGAATTTTATTATTCAGAACTTAAAATAAAAATTTTAAGTATGTCTCAGTCATTGTTCCTTAAATATTGATTGGCCTACACTGGCTTGGGAATTTGGAGATCTGTGTTCTTGTCTTGGATCTGCCTCTGACCTTGAACAAGGTACTCTTTGGATCAAAGCTTTCTAATCTGGGAAAACATAATTGATACCTAAGTTTTATTTTAGTCTGAAGTTCTAAACTACTGGCAATAGAATTTTCTAATTTTCTTTAGTAAAATATACAGTAGTTCATTTTATTTTGGTCTACATTTTTGGAACATAAAATCGCAGTGTTGGCTGAATTGCTGATAGCATAAATACAGCAATAGCTGCCAAAGGCCACCTTCAACAGGCAATCTCTTTTTTTAAACAACCACATTAAATCCCTAAGGTGACCAGTGCTATACCATTCTTCTGTTAGTTAAAGGTCACCACTACTAGCAACCAATTTTTGTACCTCCCTGGAGTAGCTACTTAAGACTACATTCATTGTCTATATTAACTTCTCTACTTCATCTGTTAAATATCAAGGTAATTAAAGACTTATATAGACATTGAGCCACTTTATGCTGAAGAAGAGACTCTTTTTAGACTAAAAATCTTCAGGCAATGCAGTCTCAGAAAGGTGAAAAGAGAGTACTTTCAGATTTCTGGAAACTTTCTCTACCTTGTTAAGTTTACTATTGCATTTGGGCAATTTGAGTACCTCTGGTAATTGCAAATTTAAGCTGTAATAGTCCTAGTTTAGGTTACTTTGTGATTACAAAGACCCCCAAATCTCAGAGACTTAAAACAACACAAGACTTATTTGTTATCAGAAGCTTTGTAGTTATAGACCAATGTCCTCCATGACACCACTCAGTAATACAGACAAAGAGAATCATTTCTTCCATCATGTAGTATGTACTATTAAGATTGTGGGAACTCCTTGATGCATCAGGAAAACAAAAAACAAACAAACAAAAAACACTCTTACTAAAATTAACTATTTAATCTTTTAGTGACACATATTACATTTGCTTACAAGCCATTGGCTATAAATACTTATATAGCTGAGCCTAAGTTTATGGGTTTAGAGATGTGTAAACCTCCAAGTGCTCAGAAAAGAAGGTGAACTCTAAGAAGTCTTTACACATTTCCATGCAACAAAAGCTGTTATCAAAGAAAATTCTGTCTGGAACTTTTAGTTTTCTTATAATTAAGTTTAAATTAAAGCATATTAGCCTACATAGATTCCAGTAGTCTAGACGGCCAAGAACACACACATCAGTTTTTCCAACTCTTAATATGGTATCGTTGGTTTATGATTCTGGCACTTGATTTAGCTGTTATTGTATGTGTATGTGTTTCTGTTTCTGTATTTCTGTGTTTCCTTCTTTCATTGTGTGAACGCAGGTTGAATTCTCACTGTTTTCTAAGAGACTACAATTAAAGTATAATCCTTTTCTTCAAGGAGGTCACAATAGTCTTTGAACATCAGTTAGGCCCATAAATAAACATAGTTCCCCAAATTACACATTATAGAGGTACTATATTCAGTTTCAATCATTCACAAATTGGCCTTTTGGTAGCATGTCTTAAAATTTTGAGGTATGCACAAATTGTATTTTCCACACTTTATGGCATATGAATATATCATCTCAGCTGAATATTTGCCAAGATACTAAAGCAAATTCAAAGCTCTTGAATGATAAAATAAGCTTTAGTATTATTTATGGACAACTCTGTAACCCACTGCCACGAACGAGTAGGTAGTTTTGTATATCACAGCAAAATTTCACAGCTAGTTTTTTGCCATTACTAAGTATGGTATCTAAAGCATTTGAAGTGCTTTTTGATTAGCAACATGGAATATTATGTCTTTAGTAGATTAGAAATATGGCATACAAGGTGTTTAGGCATTTGTGCACAAACTCATTTATGCATTATCCACAGTTTATTATTGGTTGAAACCTTATGTAAGCCATGTGTTATTTAAGACGGTCTGTCTATGGGATGTATTAAGGCACCACCTCTGTTTGCTATTTTATTCAGTACCTTTTGATGCCTACCACACAGCAGGCATTTTTATAGGCATTCAATAAGTAATTAGAAATAAAACACAATTCCCAACTTTCTGAAATTTTGCTTATTGGAGGAAATACACATTTAAAAACACAGTATAGTAAGTTGTGTGCTAGAGGTAGCAGAAGGTATTACAGAAGCTCAGAACAGAGGACCTTCTCTATCTTGGAGGACAGTATATATGTTTGTGTTGTGTGCACATGCAAGCATGTGTGTAAGAGATAATCATGGAATGCATAAATAAACCAAATTAATGAGGGGGAGTAAGAAAGTGTCCATAGGAGGAAACAAGATATGAGAAGGCCTTTTATGTGTGACAGAGAATGACATGGACCAAAATGGAGAGAAATTCGGTGAAGATTGTAGAATACCAGAGAGAGGCTTGCAAGATAAGAATGTAGACAAAGATGGGCAAGATCACAAAGGTGTTATGAAGTCATTGGAAGTTAAATCTAAAAGGCAGTGGCCTTGGAAGTGTTGAAGGAGGAGGGTTACACAATCGTATTTGTGTTTTCTGGATATGGTAGGTTGGAGGAGAGAAAAGAGGGAAAGTAAGGATATCAGCTGAAACACATTAATCGAGGTGGAGAATGATTATCTTGGACTAGAATAGAAGTAACAGACAGTGAGAATGAATGGATCAAAGAGACCTTCAGGAGACAATATGAGCACAACTTAGTGATTGATTTCATGTAGATGACAGAAGGAAAGAAAGGTGGAATTCAAGAATAGCTCCCAGATTCCTAACGTGGGTAATTGGGTAGATGGTAATGCAACTTACCAATATGGGGACAATAAAAATATATGGAAATATAGGAAGGTGTAGTAAATAAAAGCTTTATTTTGAAAAAGTTTAAATGGAGGTACTTCTGATATGCAAATATCCAGAAGCTCAGTGGGGAAGCTTTGGCAATGGAAATAGATATGGTAATATTCAGAATGGTTCTAAATCTCACCTACGATTAATTCCCACTTAAAAAATATTTTTCTTGGTTGTTTTGCAATTTTCAAAGTAATTTTTCATTATAATTTTATATTTTAATATTACTAAATGTAAAAATTATATTCCTATTCAGAAAAATAGATCAAAAATTACAATAAATCTGTCGCCAGTAAAAACACATAGGCTACCGAAAGAAATTCAGAAATACCTGAAACTGAGAAATATTGTTTCAGGGTGGAATTAACTTTTTGTAGAATTTTAGTGTAGAATACTTAAAGCTAACTCAAAAAAAAAAAAAAGGTGATAAAGCATGATCCCACTATGATTGATTTGGTAAAGTAACACAACTATATAAGAACCATGATTTCTTCCTCTTTGCTAGTTTGAAATGTTTTATTATTTTAGAGATTCAAATGGGCCTAACATTTGATGTTAATGTTTGGAAGGGGAAAGCAATTTTGTAAGGAAATAGACATGAATACTTACTTAGATTAATATAGTTGGAATTGTATGCAAAGTGACTTTAACACCTGCCTCAGCTGGATGGGAAGGTCTTGGTTGGTTTTCAAACCCAAGGTAGGATTTGCATTCTTTGTTCATGAAAGAAAGAAGAAGTGAATGCTTTTCTTGTTTACTCTGTAATGAGAAGAGTAGTTTACAAATTAACCTATTGTGTATGTTCTGTTTTTAATAGGTTCTTTCAATGAGTAACTGCAAACTCAAACTGGATGTTTCATAGCAAATAGCAAAACCCTTACAATACAAAGGTGATTTGAAGCCTGGATTAAGAGAGATGTTTAGGTACATTATTTAATCATTTTCATTTCTTTCAGGGGGTGATTGTATGATAATGGCACTGATATTGGTAAAAACAAAAGAGACTGGTTTAAATGCCATGTATCAGTTAACTTTTGCTGTATAAACAAACTATGCTAAAACATAGGACTTCAACAACGACTATTTATTTATTCAGGATTTTCTGAGTCAGCAATTTGATTAGGGCAATTATTTTCCTAATCTTTTCTGCCGTACTTATTCATGTGGCTGCAGTCAGCCGGCAGATTAATGGGAGGCTGGTTGGCCTAGGATCCCCTCTAGGCAACAGAAGAATATAAATAAGTAATTTTATTGGACATTGAGAACTAGATTACCTAATAAACTTCTCAGTTTCCCTAATTTGTCAAGAAGTTCTGAACTAAATATGATGATGAATGAAGCAGCAACTAGCTTATTCCAGAGAAAGTATATTAGTTATAGACCCTTTAAAATAAGCTTTAAAACAATATTTTTAAAATGTACTTTTTCCTTCTTTAATTCAGTTTAGAGTGGGTTATAATTATAAAAAAATAATTATAATCAAACATTGCAGAGTTCCACACCTTTCTGTATTATATTCTGGAAATTTGTTTTTTTCTTTTGAAAATAGCAGGGAGTTAGAATTGATTATGTAAGTAGGTTTCTATAACATCTCAGCTGGCAGGTGTATTTTTTAGTATCAAAGGAAAAAAACAGAACATCAGAAGGGATTAAAAACTTGTTCGGGAAAAGAGAAGAATAAAAAGCAAATGTGTACTTTTTAAAGCTCATCTCTTCATTAAGATTTAAAATGTTATCTGATTATTAATTCCTTATTGTATACTCAAAAAATAATGACTCATAGACTTTAATTTTTACCCTGAAATTCTTTCTTTTTCATTCTGAATTTTGCAACGTTATTTTGACAAAGTTAGGCATTGCTTTATGGCACATACATGATGGGAAATGGATCTTTAGACAAGTCTATCATCAGTGCCTTTTGAAGTCAAATAAACATCATGGAATGTTGTTCCAAAAGAAGATGTAGTTTGAGACCTGTGGAAAAACGTTTTCTACCTTGTAGTTACTTTGAATATCTTATATGGGTCTAATAGTGAAGCTACAGATACCTTAAGAGATTTCTCCTTAACGCTGTCTTCAGAAGGACTAGCAACACTCAAAGCTACCCAACTATCAACCATTTCAAAAGAATTAAGACAAAAATGAATATATTCAATTTCAGTATATGCCAAGATATAAGGAATGTGAGATGTATTATTCAGGGTTATAAATGACAGGTGCAGCCATGGTGTACCAATTGCAGTACAATTATTTCCTTCTCAGATGTTTGCCTCTCAAAGCTCTTTTTTTGCTGATTTATTTTCTGGAATCTGGGGAAAACAAGAATGAATGATTTTTTTCCCTTATCATTACTAAGCTTCTTAATTTCAAGAACTCCTTCCAGCTAAGGTATCCAGCTGGGCTACACTGGATGATAAGGCTTACACTAATCATCTGTAGCATCTTGATAAACAATCTTTAATAATGGATGAGGGGAATTTAGTTTTTACCTGACAAGAGAAGCAAGTCTTCAGGCTGTTAAGAAGTGTTACACAAACTAAACTAAAGTTATACAGAACTGTGAAAATAATACCTGGTATATATCTCAGAGCCAATGTGTTCCTGGAAGCTTACAGAAAAAAAATTTCTCTTAATTCAATGATTATGTCTGACTTAATATCTTACTAATTCACACCAAATGTGCAATAAATTTGTGAAAATAAAACTGCTATGAGACTTTAAGCAAATAGTCTTTTAGTATCTATAGCACTGCTATAACTCAAATTAGACTAACAACATTTTATCAGGTATATGACTTTTAGAGATCCTGCTTTAATCAAGTGAAGCATTTGTAGCTTGCGTATGAAATGTTTATAAAGGGCATGAAAACTAGTGGGACAACCTGTTTCATAATCATATTTACCCTTTATTTTGCTCAGTAAAAACCTTTGTTAAGGAGAATGCAAAGATAAACATAGATGGGGGCTAAATTATCCTTTTAAGTCTAAAATAATGGTTCTTCACTTTTTAGGGAACCATGTACAATTTTCATGTCGTTTATTACATCCTGACACTTCCAATAAAAGGTTGAAATGATTGACCAAAAATGGCAACAAAAAAGCTTGTTGCCAGCTAGCATTGCAGTTTAAGTATAAAAATATAAATATAGTAACGGTAGGAGCCATATAATTGCTACTGATGGAACTTAAAACCTTTAGAGCTTTTGGTAATTCAGAGAGATTCAGAAACTGATGAGTTATGCACTAGTAAATGGGAAGCAGAAATTTAACAGTTGTTTAGGAAAGACAAATGGTTTTCTGAAATAGGAAATAGACTTCCAATAAGCAGCACTGTTGTCTAGGGCTTATTAAGTAATAAAAAGGAAAATATTCTCAGTTGTAAAACAAGTGGAGATATGAAAGAGATGCAGAAATGAATAATAATGATATTTACCATTTATTGAATACCTTCTGTGGGTCAGGCACACATTACATATATTGCATTCTTCGTAACATCCCACACAAAGCATTTTGGCTTTACTTTTTGGTTGAGGAAAGTGAAGTTCAAGAAGTCAAATTTACAGCTAGTGAGTTTTGTTTTTGTTTTTGTTTCCCACTGTCATACGAAGTCCTCAATGATCTATATGAGTAGTTGAACACAGGTATGGTGAAAGTCCACGTTCCTTTAATCACACGCTAGCTCTTACTGCTTTTTAAGAACAGTGAATCTTTGAGTCACTAGAGGTTCTATTAAAGGGCTTGCGTTTAAACTGTTGGGAATCCTGTAAAGAAGAATCATAGATTGGATGAGAATTTAGAAAACATGATTTCAGGTTAATTCTACAGATGAAGATTTGATTAAAATAAAGTCAAGCAGAGGGATGTATGAGGGTAAATGGGACATTGATTGTCACTGAAAACACAAAACATAAGTGGCTACCTAATTTGCCAGCTTATTTAACTGGGTATTATTTGATTACATCATACTATTTTTGTTTCCATAACAGAATTGCAATACTTTAATCAACCTCTGTATTTTAAGCTTTTGCTAAGCCAACATGCAAATTCATTATAAAATCTGTTTTCCTAAGAGTAAATCAAGCAATACTGTTTCATAAAACCAAAACATCACCAACATGCAAAACAAACAAGCAAGGAAAGCAAACACTAGACACCGATTCAGTGTTTAATATATTTCCACTATTTAAATGGAGAAGTAGAACTGCATGCCTTTGAGAAACAGTCAAAATTTCAAAAATTTATAACAAAGATATAATAAAAAGATAACTTAGGCCTTCTGTGTTTAAAATAAAAGGTAAAAGGGAGCTCTTCTTTTAGTGTGTTTTTTTTTTTCAATAATTGTGATGGCTTTCCAGATATTTTTTCTTGAAAATTTAGAACATGATTTCCTTGATGATGTATCATTTCATATTGGAATTTGAGATATTTTATAAGTACCCAACTATTCATCATTCTAACTTAATAAAATAAAAATATATTATGTAAGAGCATCTAAACGTGTGTGTATCTTTGAAATCAACTACCATATAATGTTTTCTTTTTTAAATTTATTTTTTATTATTTTATTTTATTTATTTTTCTTTTTTTGAGATGGAGTCTCGCTCTGTCACCCAGGCTGGAGTGCAGTGGCGCGATCTCGGCTCACTGCAACCTCTGCTTCCAGGGTTCAAGCGATTCTCCCACCTCAGCCTCCTGAGTAGCTGGGATTACAGGTGCCCACCACCATGCCCTGCTAATTTTTATATTTTTAGTAGAGACAGGGTTTCAACATGTTGGTCAGGCTGGTCTCGAACTCCTGACCTCATGAGGCACCTGTCTTGGCCTCCCAAAGTGCTGGGACTACAGGCGTGCGCCACCGTTCCCGGCCAGTGTTTTCTTTCGTGTGACTGTAGATCTCGGCCACCAAGATTATTAGTTTTATTTGTCTCCACTTTCACTCTAATTTCACAATTATCTATGTAGAAATACTCACATAAACACGTTTCCATAAAAATAAATAAATATAAAATTTCTCAAGTATAAAAAAAATCACTGGATATAAACTAGACTATGAATATATAAAAAGCAAAGTCATGTCCAATGAACATGATAGAAATTTAGTCCTTCAGGGAGTTTGCATTCTAGCAGAGTAACACAGACAGTAACAACATCACATAACATATAAGTAGATTATATAATATTATATAAGATGATAATTACTGTAGGAAAAAAGTTAGAGCAAATTAAACGGGGTAGGGAACTCTTGGACTGTGAAAAATAGAGATGAGTCAACAGTGATTTAGAGGCTGGAGAATGTGCTACTGTAAAGATAGAGTTGCCATCAACTGAGAAGAGAAAACAGACATAATAAATGTTTCCAGGAAATGGAAAATCAAGCATTCAGTTTTGAGCATGTAAAATTTGAAGTGCCTATTAAACATCCAAATAGAGATGTGTAATCCCCAGCTGGAATATAAGTTTGCAGTTAAAAGTGTTTTTTGTTCTTTAATTTTCATCTCAGAATCAAGCTCCGAGGCAAGGATTAAAGTGCAATTAATTTATCTTGGGATATAAACACAGAAATAGTGGAAAGGAAGTGGGAAAGTGAGAGTAGGATGGGAAGATGGCCAGTAAAGAAAAGTTATTAGGCAAATTAACATTGTGGGCAACTAAAACTTGATGCTATAAAGAGGCTCTGGGAGCCACTGTAAATGTGTATTTTAGAGTATCCAACAAGAAGAATGAGAAAGCTTGGCTATTCATGGACCACCTCATAACAATAATTAGATGAGGCTTGCTTTTAGGTCATATTCATTCTTAGGCAATCCAGGCTGCTATGGGCATAGGTAGAGCAGAATTAGAGGCAGAGAAGGTATCGGAGTTATAGCTTGGAACCTGCCCAAGATGAATCTCCAATGCCAAGCTTAAGAATAGGTGCTTTCTTCCATAGTCATAGAGAGCCAAGACACTTTACCCCTAAATCTGCACACTGAACGCATCCTGGCTGAGAAATAGGCTGGTCTCTCCCTTCAGATTAGTCTGATAGTTGAATCACAAAAGTCCACTACATGGAAGACAAGTGAAAGAATAAAATTACAAAACAGATGGCTTTGCCATTGTAGTCTGGCCAGGAAAGGAGCTCAGAGTCAAGCCTTGCAGGAAGGAGTGAGGGGGAGTGCCGGAGATGATCTCATTGTGTGATCATATCCCGTTGTCTTGCTTCATGTGCGTTTAGAGTAATAAAATAGCATAAGGACAGGAGACCCAGTTCTAGTGTTTAGCCTTCACCTTAATCCTTGCATGTGGAGCCTTTGGGGAAGCTATGCAACCTCTTTGATCATATAACTAAGAAGATAGGAAGTAGAGAAAAGAAGACAAATAAATATAGTTTTATTTCTCTTTTTTAATATGGTAAATATAATTTGTTTATATGTTGATGGAAAGTGTCTCATAGAGATGAAAACTATTGATTATTTTAATAAATACCCTCAGAGAGTCCCATGAGGAGACAATTTTAGAAAAAATAATTGGGCTCCATTATGAACTAAACTTTTAAAAATTAGATCAGGCTAGTGAAAGCTTATTTTTTTCACATTTTCATCCTGCCTTTCTTTCTCCCATTCCTCTCATCCCTCCTTCTTTCCATAATAATATATGAGTGCATACTATGAAGTAGGACCTGTACTAAGGATTAGTACATGAAAGGACCACTATGACAGTTGTTTCAGGAGCTTGAAGTTCTTTCAGAATAAGAACCAAGCAAACAAATAATTGAAATAAGCAATTGAAATAAGTGATTAGTGCCCCGACAGCCAGAGGATGACAAACAACTCCATTCAGAATATATGCACTATGGAATTTCTTCCTGGAGGACTTTACTTTTTAAACAACAATGTTTAACACTTGATGGGAATTACTATTGGTCATCTATGAAATCAGATTTCTTTCAGTAGTGTTTTTGGATAGATGGAACATAGCTAATATAGGTTTTGTTTCAAAGCATCTGTTGTTCTTCCATTGTAATTTGTATCCAAGCTTAATAAAATGATCTGATTTTAATAATCTCCATTTTCAAAAGACTAATTGGTCATCTTCTTGAGCAGTCTTGATTGTAATGCCATGTTTTTTTTTTTAATATAAAAAAGGCCTATTCCAAAGTGTAGCATTTTTAGGAAAAGCATCAAGTCATAACCAAACAATTCCCAGAAAACTCAGCCAAGAGACTGCACTCAAGTCAATTAAGGAAGACTTCAAAACCCTCAGAGTTTTTTAAAAACTTCCAAACAACACTTTTATGGAATGAGGATAATCTTAATGGACATTGTTTCATACATTGAATGTTTCATTCATTTGTTGTGCATAGTTTATCCTGCCTTTCATGCCAATTAGATTCCGAAAGTGCTTCATGTGCGGTCTGGGAGAGGTATAAAGGAATTAAATGCAGGTTTGATTGTACTATGGTAATTGGAGTTTTGCACCTCACATAGGCCTCATCATGGGCATGCATATTTTCTGAAAGCTTGCATATTGAATAGACCTATTCTTTTTGGAGTTGCACTTGATTATTCTCAGGTATAAAATATGTGCTTTCAAAGAGCAGTAAGTTCAGAAATGGTGTGTGTGTGTGTGTGTGTGTGTGTGTTTGTTTTGTTTTTAATTCAATAGTACATAGATAACAAATGGATAATCTAGAAGGCTTGTGATGATGGCATACATCTGAGCTGTTGAATATTTTTCAGTTTCCATTTGTAATGATGCAGCCAGAAGACTAGCTATGTTATATTAGTTTGGAGCATGTTTCTTTATATAAGTCAAATGGTAATAAGTAATCTATCCAGGGGGTGTCTGTCTTAGTTTGTTTAGGCTGCTGCTGTAACAAAATGTATTATTCTGGGTGGCTTATAAACAATAATTTATTTCTCACAGTTCTGGAGGCTGGGAATTCCAAGATCAAGGCACTGGTAGATTTGTCGTCTGGTAAGAACCAACTCTCTGGTTCACAGGTGGTGCCTTTGTTGTGTCCCCACATGGTAGAAGGGGTGAGAGGTCTCCCTTGAGCCTCTTTTGTAAGGACACTAATCCCATTTGTGAGGGCACTGCCCTTATGGACCACTCACCTCTAAAAGGCTCCACCTCCTAATACCATAACCTTTGGGGTTCATATTTTAACGTATGAATTTTGAGACATATTTAGACCCCTGAACTAAAACAACTAGATATATTCTCATACTTTATTGAAGGTCATATTTTATTTCTCATTATGTCAAAGCATATAAAATTTTGATAGAAGGATGTTTGCTCATTTTGCTCTGTGTTTTTTATTGTTTTCCCAGCACCTAGTCCAATGTTGAATAGTGAAGAGAGTGGAAATATTTGCATTGTTTACAGTCTTAGATTGAAACTTTTAATGCTTCTCGCTTAAGAATAATGTTAGCTTTAGTATTTTTGTAGATGTCCTTCATCAGTTTCAGGACATTTCCTTCTATTACTAGTTTGCTGGTAATTGTTTTCATGAATAGATGTTGAATTATTTCACTTATTTTACTGTATCTATTGAGGTGATTATATGGCTTTTCTGCCTTACTCTATTAATATAGAAATCACATTAATAGATTTTCATTTGATAGATAAACTTTGTATTGCTGAAATAAGCTCTACATCGTCATGATGTATTATTCTATATACAAATTACTAAATTAATTTGCTGTATTTTATTAAGGATTTTGTGTTTATGCTCATGAGTTGTTGGTCAGTAATTTTGTTTTCTTGTAATGTATTTATGTATTTGTCGTATTTTGGTATTAGAGATTCAGAGGCCCAGTCCCTGTTTTCTGGGAGTTCTTTTATATGATGGACATTATTTCCTTTTCCAATATTCAACAGAACTCACTGTTAAAGATATTAAGGCCTAAGCATTTTTTATGTGAAAAATTTTAATGATGAATTTAATTTTTCAAGTAAGTGTTAGGGCATTTTGAATTTTTATTTCTTCTCGTGTCAGTTTTAGTAACTTGGGTTTTTCTTTAAGAAATCTGTACATTTCCATGTAAGTTGTCAAATTTGTTGGCCTAAAGTTGTTCATAGTGTTCTCTCATATTCTTTTAATGTCTGTAGGATCAAGAGGCATGCAGTAAAAATATGTTGCATTGAATAAATTACTAAACCATAGAAATTGACCTAGCTCTTTTCCAACTCATTCACTGATTTTCAAACTTCTAAAACAAAAAAAATCCATTTGATTTAATAAAGACTTCCTCAGAAGAATTAAGACACATGAAATTAAAGAAATATGGGTATGAATAAAGTGAAGATAATTTTGGGAAAACATCAGCTCCTTTAACTTGCCCTTATTCTCCTACTGTGACAACTCAGAAGTTTCCATTTTATAAAAACTTGAGTTCTTAAAGATCTTTGAGTTTGATTTTAGAGCTCAAAGTAATAATTATTTGTCTATCTAGTGGGTAAACAGAGAGTAAAGAAAGGCTAATTAGTCCCCATGCAAATAAAATTACAACATTTTAGAGCTGGAAATATTTTTATAAACCCTTTAAAAGAAACACAGACATAATCATGACCATATTGAAAGGTAAGCATAAAATATTTTGTTTATTATTATTATTTTTTATCTATAAAAACTTGAATTCTTGTTTATTATTGTCTAAATATTTTATCTATTATTATCTAAATATTTTGTTTATCTATTATTACCTATTTGTTATCTATAAAAACTTGAGTTCTATTGAATACATTTTGAGAAATCACTTAAAGTTTATTAAATGGAGTGAAATTGTATTCATTTTTGCGTTCTCCATAATACTTAGCACAGTGATTTGCACATAGTGTTCACTACGTGTTTTATTAATGAATGGAGACAAATATCTTTGACCCATGTCAAAGGAATAAAAATAATCAATTTTTGAAATAAACTAGGCTTTCAGCCATATATAAAATTTAAATTAGAGCCTTTATATAACTTTCAGAGCTGAACAAGAACCCAGCATGGTAAATTTACTTTAATATTTATATTTGTATGAAGAATATTTGATGGAGTGTAATATTTATGCTTTGAGGTATGACCTATATTTATGCTAATTTTCAGACACTATAACCAAACAGTAATTAGGCAGGTAGGGGGCCATTAGAAGATAGTGCATTTCTCTTTCTTCTTATAAATTTCTGATGTGATCAGTTTGTTTACTGAATGAGAAGCCAGGGTTTTCTGCATTATTAATATTCTACTTCTGCTTTTATCACAGCATGAACCTTCTTTTCTTCAGACATATGCCAATGACAATGACTGAAGAAAAGACTTGCAGTCGTAATAGATAAAATATTTTATGCTTACCTTTCAATATGGTCACAATTATGTCTGTGTTTCTTTTAAAGGGTTTATAAAAATATTTCCAGCTCTAAAATGTTGTAATTTTATTTGCATGAGGACTAATTAGCCTTTCTTTACTCTCTCTTTACCCACTAGATAGACAAATAATTATTATTTTGAGCTCTCAAATCAAACTCAAAGATCTTTAAAGATTATTCTTTTTTTTTATTTCACTGTATTCTCAAAATCAAAAGTACAGTGATTTCCAATGGCCTGGTAGTCACAAAAATAGATAGTTTTAGACTACAAAACATGTGTAGTTCTCTGAGTTAAAATGTTGGGAAGAGGTCCCCTTTACCTATTCTTCACCTTGCTTTCAAGATGTAGTTCTGTTGTGATTCAAGCATGTTTGAAAGACCTTTTTGTTGATTTCATTGTAAAAATTTAGGCTCCAGAAAAAATTTTGGCAGATTTTCTACTCTTAAAACAGTTCCTTCCAGAATGCAAATGTGAAGAATTAAAACAGCCACACAAGGCTTTTTTTTTTTTTTTTTCTGGTCATCCTGGTAACTAATGGCTTTCACTATAGCAGATATAGCAGAAATAAAACTTCAAACTGAGCGCTATAGGCAATGATAGAATGGATTTTTTGCATATGTTGACCAATGTTGTTAATCTCGTGATTCAGTGATTGGCCTTATAATTACAATTAGCATAGATATACTCATTGTGGTAGAAACACTATTTGCTACATAACTATAACTCATCTACCCTAAAAACTTGCCTATGCTTCCTGCTTCATTTTATTGTTGCTTCCTGTCTGTTTTCATGCTGTTGATAAAGACATACCCAAGACTCGTCAATTTACAAAAGAAAGAGGTTTAATGGACTTACAATTCCACATGGCTGGGGAGGCCTCATAATCATGGTGGAAGGCAAGGAGCAGCAAGTCACCATGGATGGCAACAGGCAAAGAGAAAGCTTGTGCAGGGAAACTCCTCCTTATAAAACCATCAGGTCTCATGAGACTTAATCACTGTAATGATAACAGCACAGGAAAGACCATCCCCATGATTCAATTACCTTCCACCAGGTCCCTCCCACAATATATGGGAATTCAAGATGAGATTTGGGTGGGGGGACAGCAAAACTATATCAACTATCATTGCTATTATCATTTTCATCATCCCTATTATAAACAACCTGCTGAGGATTCCTAAATTGATAAATTCCTCCAACATCCAGGTTTAGAAGAGTACAGCTAAGATGTTGCCCTAGATCTGTTTTCCCACGTAGACTCTGAAATGAAAATTTGTATGGAGGAAGATTATTGAGGAGTGCTATGAGCAACAACACCTGTGAGGAAGTGAGTGGATGGAAGAAGAATTTGAATACAGACACAGGTGCCTCCAACTTCTGACTTCAGTTGGACTTCTGGCAAGTTCTGAAGCTGTGATTGACCTTCAAAGTTGACTCCAATTGAGGGAAGGGAAGCTTGTATTTATGTTCTCACATTGACCACTTATTAGATACGGACTGCCTGTAAGGGGAGGGAATGAAAACTTGGGTGAGATAGCTTTGTTTATTTGAAAGTAAATCCTTCCCATTTGTCAAGGGAGGAATTAGGTAGAGCATCATAGTATTCATTATAGTGGTCCAACCACAAATTTATCAACTGTGTAATAATGTTGTAACCATTCACCACTTAAACTCATCTGTAAGGAAAAGAGAATAAATCATTTATTTTCTGACTGTTTTAGCTGTGTGGTAAGAGCCTTGTAAAAATCACATTCATTTACTTTATTTTGGTATTGTTATAGATTTGGTGGTACAAGGTCCATATATTATGTATTGATGAAGTTTGAGATTTTAATGTAATAATAACACAAAAGTATACATTGTAACCATTAGGTAATTTCTCATCCCTCAACCCCTCTCACCCTTCTATCTTCCAAGTCTTTAATGTCTATCATCCCACCCTACATGTTTATATGTACACATTATTTAGCTCTTGCTTATAAATGAGAACATAGAGTATATGACTGTTTCTGAGTTATTTCACTTAAGATAATAACCTCCAGTTTCATTCGTGTTGCTGCAAAACACATATGAAACCGAAGCAGAGCCCAAATAGCAAAAGCAATCCTAAGCAAAAAGAACAAAGCTGGAGGCATCATATTATTTGACTTTAAATTATGCTACAAGGCTGTAGTAACCAAAACAGTGTGGTACTGGTAGAAAGATAGACATATATATTAATGGAACAAAATAGAGAACCCAGAAATAAAGCCACATACTTACAGCCAACTGATCTTTGACAGAGTTGACAAAAATAAACAATGAAGAGAGATAGTTTCTTCTGTAAAGCGTTCTGGGAAAGTTGTAGAGCCATGTGCAGAAGAATGAAACTAGACCTATATCTCTTACCGTATTCAAAAATTAACTAAAGATGGATTAAAGACTTAAATGTAAGAATTAAAATTGTGGAAATTCTAAAAGAAAACCTAGAAAGAAATTCTTCTGGACATTGGTCTAGGCAAAGAATTCGTGACTCAGGCCTCAACAAAACAAAATGCAACGAAACAAAATAGACAAATGGGACTTAGTTAAACTGAAAAGTTTCTGTATCACTAAAGAAATAATCAACACAGTGAACAGACAACCTACAAAATGTGAGGAAATAATTGTAAGCTATGCATCCTACAAAGGGCTAATATTCATTCTCTACAGGGAACTCAAACATCTCAGCAAGAAAAAAAAAAACAACAAAAAACAAGTAAGCTCATTAAAAAGTGGCCAAAGGGCATAAACAGACATTTTTCAAAAGAATAAATTACAGTAACTTTCTAAAAGGACAGTTCTAAACTAGCATAACCAATTCGATGAGACCTCAGTGCTGGAGTTTCAGCTGAGTAAAAACCCTAGGTTTGCCAGTGGCCTATTAATCTCCATCTATTCAAGAGGTGGGAATCAACTCATGTCAGCAGGCAGTAGTGTCACCCTAAGAACTCCAGTGAAGAGGCTTGTATATCTTCTTCATTGATTTGTACCAATGTGATCTAGTTCAACAGTCAGGTTTTTTTCTCTTTAAGAAAAGCATTCCTGACCTTGACAATAAGTAGTTGCCCAGTAAGGGTTGTATAGAGAGATTTTAATACAAGAAAACTGACACAGATATGTGTGGGAGGGGGATGGGTGTGGGGAAGTAAAACACCTGAGTTAGATTGATTCAAAAGATAGACTTTATAATTTAACCACCTAAATTTAGATGTAAAACATTTTCCTCATGATGAAAATTTACGTTCAGCAATTGTGAACACACTTTACAATGGACCCCCAATTACTTCCACAGACTGGTATTCATGACCTGTGTAATCCCATCCTCTTGAATGTGGGTAGGGCCTGTGACTTGCGTCTAACTCATACACTATGGAGACTGATAAGATTTTACTTCTGTGATTACATTACACAAGATTGTAACTTCTGTCTAGGTATCAGACTCTCTAGCTTGCTCTCTCTCATATATTCACTTTCCGAAGAAATTGTCACCCTTCAATTTTGGTATTTGCAGGGAATTTTGGAAAAAATCGCCCATGAATATCAGGGGATGACTGTAATTGATTATTAGTTTTTTTGTTCATTTTTTCAGATTTACTGTATAAACAACGTCATCTGCAAACAGAGACAGTTTTACTTCCTAATATGTGTATCTTTATTTACTTTTTTTGTCTTATTGCATTTACAAAGACTTCCAAAATGATGTTGAAAAGGAGTGGTGAGAGGAGGCATCCTTGCCTTGTTCCCAGTCTTAGTGGGAAATCTCATTTCTCACCATTAAGTGTGATGTTAACTATAGGCTTTCTGTAGATGGGTGTTTATCAAGTTGAGGGAGTTCCCCTCTATTCTTAGTTTGCTGAAGTTGTTTTTTTCTTTTTTAACCCTTTTCTCACTTGCCACAAGAATACTTGGGGCAATAAGAATATATGATATGAATACTTACATCGACTTTGAAAATAGGAGACATCATTCTATTTATAGCATTCTGGTTTTAGTAGCGGCATTTATTCATAGTAGTGTTTCCATTTACAAAATGTACTAATTCTCAATCACTGAAAATGTCAAATCCTAGAAAATGTAGCATTCCTATGCGTGATGTTTACATCATTCTCAAACATTTATTAGCTAAGGATTCATTTGATGAATCCCATTTTTCCAAGAGACAATTCCGATGATTCAGATTATTCTGATGTTAGTCCTTTTTAGAAATAATTCCAATAACAGTTTTAATATTTTGTTTTCACACTGAAAATCAGATTTGCTTTAGCCTCAAAGAACCTGTTTATGTAAAATTAAATGAGCAATAACAGGGAGCTGCACTTTTTTTTTCTAAATGGGAAAAGAGTTAATCATGAATAGATATATTTTTTTTCTAATGCTTTTTCTGCATCTATTGATATGATTATGTCATTTTTCTTCTTTAGCTTGTTGATATGATCAGTGAAATTAATTAGTTTACAAATTTTAAAGCAACCTTGCATAACTGGAATAAATTATACTTGGTTATGGAGTATAATTCTTGTTATAAACTGTTGAATTTGATTTTCTAATATTTTGTGGAGGATTTTTACATCTATGTTCATGAGACATAGTAATCTGTAGTTTTCTTTTCTTGTAGAGTCTCTGTCTTTTTTTGCTTTTGTTTTTGTGTTAGAGTAATGCTAGTCTCATAGAATGAGTTCAAAAATAGTCCCTTTGCTTTTATCATCTGAAAAAGTTGTAGAGAATTGGCATAATTTCTTTCTTAATTGTTTGATATAATTCACCAGTGAACCAAACTGGGCCTGGTGCTTTCTGTTTTTGAAATGTGTTAATTATTGATAATTTCCTTAAAAGATATCGGTTTATTCAGATTGTTTTTGTCTTCTTTTGTGAGTTTAGCAGATTTTGTTTTTCACAGATTCAGTCTATTCCAGGTTTGCAAATTTGTGGGTGTAGGTTTGTTAATAATATTTATTTTTTTCAATGTCCTTGGTATCTGTAGTGATGCTCACTTTTTTATTTCTTATATTAGGATTTGTGTCATCTCTATTTTTTCTGTTAACCTGTCTAGAGGATTATCAATTTTATTAATCTTTCAAAAAAACTAGCCTTTGGTTTTATTGATTTTCTATATTAATTTCATTGACTTACATTCTAGTATTTGTTATATTTTTTCTTTTTTTACTTTGAATTTAATTTTCTCTTTTTCTAGTTTCTAAATATTTAATCTTAGATTATTAATTTTTGGGTCTTTCTGCTTTTCTAATACATTGTTCAATGCTATAAATGTCCCCATAAGTACTGCTTTCATTGCATTTCACAAATTTTGACAAGTTGTGTTTTCATTTTCATTTAGTTTGAAATACTTTTAATTTTTCTTAAGATTTCTTCTTTGACCCATATTTTATTTAGAAGAGTGCTGTTTAATCTCTGAGTGTTTTGGGCTTTTGCAGCTATCTTTCTGTTATTGATTTTTAGTTTAATTCTATGGTGGTCTGAGAAGAGACATTGTATGATTTTAATTATTTTGAGTTTTTAAGGTATATTTTATAGACTGGAAAATGGTCTACTTTGGAAAACGTATTAGGTAGTTTGAGAATAATGTGTATTCTATTGTTTTTGGATGAAGTAGTTGATAGATGTCAATTATATTCAGTTGATTGATGGTGCTATTGGTTTAAACTAGGTCCTTACTTATTTTCTGCTTGATGCATTTGATTATTTTCTGATAGAAAGGTGTTAACATCCCCAACCATAACAGTGAGTTCATATATTTCTACTTGTTGTTCTATCATTTTTTGCCTCATTTATTTTGACACTTTATTGTCAGGCATATACAACAGGAAGGATTGTTATATCTTCTTATAGAATTGACCCCTTTATCATTATGTAATGCCCCTCTTTATTGCTGATAACTTTCCTTCCTCTGAAATCTGCTCTGCCTGAAATTAATATAGCTATTTCCACTTTCTTTTCATTAGTGTTGAAATGGTATATCTGTCTTCATTTCTTTACTTTTAATCTATATGCACTTTTACAATTTAAAGTAGTTTCTCATAAACAACATATAGTTGAATCCTTTTTTTTAATCTATGTAACAGTCTCTGTTTTTTAACTGGTGTATTGAGATCATTAATATTTAAAGTGATTAATGATATAGTTAGATTAATAGCTACCTCCCATATTGTAAAATACGTATTTGGACTTTGTCCCTGTTTTCTGGAATACAGCTAAAACTGTTGGAATCTCTTAAGTGATAAGTGCCTTTTTGTATAGTAATGAGATGACTGATGGCCAGGGACTCTTGCATAGCCTCAGGATGGGGAACTGGTTGCCTGGGGAAGCAAACATATGATTAGAAGGTTAAAGCTTCCTATCCTAACCCCCAACCTCCAGAATGGAGAGAAAGAGTAAAAGTTGAGGTGATCATCAATGGTTAGTGATTTAATTAATCATACCTATGTAATGAAACTGCCACAAACCCAACAAGAACAGTTTAGAGAGCTTCTGAATAATTGACTATGTGAAGTTGCCTAGAAGGTAGCATGTGCGGTGAGATGGTTAGGCTCTGTTTCACTCTAATCTCATCTTGAATTGTAATCCCCATAGTCTCCACCTGTCACTGGAGAGACCAGGTGGAGGTAATTGAATCATGGGGGGCGGTTTCCCCCATGCTGTTCTCCTGATTGTGAGTGTGTTCTCATGAGATCTGATGGCTTTATAAGGGGCTCTTCTCTCTTTGCTCAGCAGTTCTCCTTCCTACCACTCTGTGAAGAAGGTGCCTTCTTTCCCTTTGTCTTCCACTATGATTGTAAGTTTCCTGAGGCCTTTACAGCCACACGGAACTGGAAGTCAATCAAACCTCTTTCCATTATAAATTACCAAGTCTCTGGTATTTCCTTATAGCAATGTGACAACAGACTAATATACCTAGTGAGGGCATAGAAACTCTATGTACTTTTCCTCCCAAAGATTACCCTATGTATTTCCACAATCTGGTATTTATCTATATCCTTTGTAATATCTTTTATAATAAATGCATAAATGTAAGTACAGTATTTCTCTGAGTTCTCTGAATCACTCTAGCAAATTAATCAAAACTGAAGAGGGTGTTGCATGAACTCTAATTGACATTAAGTCAATCAGAAGCACAGGTCACAACTTGGGGCTTGTGACTGCCATCTGAAGTGGAGGGAAGTCTTGTGGGACTGAGCCTTTTGCCCATTGGATCTGACACTACCTCCAGGTAGTCTCAGAATTGAATTGAATTAAAGGATATCCTATTAGTGTTCACTGGAGAATTAAGTGGTTGCTGTTGAGGAGAAATCCCTATACCTTTTGGTGATTAGAGGTGAAGTATTCTGTGTTGACTGCACAAGAGTGGGAAAAATAGGTTAATTTTTCCAATCTCTTCAGACTACCATGTTTGTTATTCTGTTTGTTGCCCTTGTTCTTTGTTCCTATTTTGTTTTACACTTTTTTCTGCCTTTTGTGATTTCGGTTGAACATTTTATATGATTTCATTTTCTCTAATTTCTCAGCATAACTCTAATAGTTCTTCTTTTTCATGGTTACCCTAAACTTTGCAATATACATTTACAAATAATTAGTCTATTTTCAAATAACACTGTACCACTTCATGGGTAATGCAACTGTCTTATAATAACAAAATAATTTTAATTTATTCATTCTGTCCTCTGTATTGTTGCTATCCTTTATTTCACTTATTCATAAGGACTGTGAAAGAAAGATAAAATCTTGAGACCCCAAGTTTCCTGTGCCAAAAGGGAAAAGTTAAACTTAGAAGCCAAGTCTCATACACACACACACACACACACACACACACACACACACTCCTGCCTTGCTTTTTGTTCCTAAACCGATAGCTACAGATAGAAGGCCACATGTCTTCACAGGGGGCCCTCCTCACCTTGACAATGTAAATTAATGGCTTATCTTCATGGCATGAGACAAGGGAGATGAGAAATTAATTTCTGTTAACCCTGATATAAATGCATTTTTAACTGCTTCCTTTACTCTATGTTTATTTTGTAGCATGTAAAGTGCAGATTTGCTGAGTGCAAGATGAATACATAATTGACTATATTTCCATCACCCCTCCTTTTCACATGCCAGATGTGGATTCACAAGAGGTAACCATACCTTTGCTCTTTTTTCACTTTCTCGTTTCCCCTCCTTCCTTCTTTTTCCCTTTAAATATTGAAAGTTTCAAAATCCTCTTCCAAAAACACATGAGCCACTGATCCTACTTTGGCTCTTGTCTCTTTTTCCCAGTTGCATCCTCAACTTTGGCAAAATAAACATTTAAATTGACTGAGACTTTTCTCAGATACTTTTTTTTTTGTTTACAGCACATATAAGCATGCATACATATATACATTCACACACACAGACACCCCATATGCTATATACCTATGTGTGTATTTATATATACATACACACAAACACATAGTCAAATACATTGTTGCTTTTATTTTGAATAAACTGTTATCTGTTACATCAATTAAGAATTTTTAAAAAGTTTTAATTTACTTATTCCATCTCTGATACTCTTTCTTTCTTTATGTAGATTTGAGTTTCTCACATATGTTATTTGCCTTCTCTTTAAATAACTTATTTTAAAATTTCTGACAAAGCAGGTGTACTGGCAATAAACGCCATTTATTTGTCTGAGAAAGTATTTCTCCTTCAATTTGTGAAGAATTAGGGCACAGAATTCTAGTTAGTGTTTTGCTTTTATTTTCTCTCAACACTTTTATTCACTCCACTTTGTTCTTGCTTGATTTCTGAGGATGAGTTGGATATAATTCTTATCTTTGCTTCTCTATAGATAAGGCATTTTTTGTTTGTTTGTTTATCCCCTGCATTTTTTCAGGACTTGATTTTCCACAGTTTGAATATGATGTGTGTGTGTGTGTGCGCACGTGCATGTATTTTACATTTATCCTGCTTGTTTTTCTCTGAGCTTCCTGAATCGGTGGTTTTGTGTCTTGCATTAATTTGGGTAAAATTATCAGTCATTACTGCTTCAA
Organism: Homo sapiens; assembly: GCF_000001405.40. NCBI lineage: Eukaryota > Metazoa > Chordata > Mammalia > Primates > Hominidae > Homo > Homo sapiens. Next base: position 37,278,221 of record NC_000011.10, read on the forward strand.
ACTACCTTCTTTCCTTCCTTCCTTCCTTCCTTCCTTCCTTCCTTCCTTCCTTCCTTCCTTCCTTCCTTCCTCTCTTTCTCTCTTCTCCTTCTTATATCCTTATTATATTAGGTTGGAGCAAAAGTAATTGTGGTTTTTATCATTACTTTCAATGACAAAAATCATAATTACTTTTGCACCAAGCTAATATGTATGTTATACCTTTTATTGTTTGTTCCAAAGTTTTTGGATATTCTGGTCTATTTTCTAAGTCATTTTTCTCTTTTTTTTCAGTTTTGGACATTTTTATTGAGATACCCTACTCAAGCTCAGAGATTCTTTTCTCAGCCATGTCCGTGGCTGAGCCCACCACAGCCATTTGTCATTTATGTTACACTGTTTTTGATCTCGGTATTTCTTTTTGATTCTTTCTTAGGATTTTTATCTTTCTACTTGCATGGCCATATGATCTTTAATGCTGCTTACTTTATCCATTAAAGCTGTTAGCATAGTAATCACAGTTGTTTTCAACTTCAAGTTGGATAACTCTTATATCCGTTCCATATCTGAGTTTAGTTTTGATGCTTGCTTTGTCTCTCTAAACGGTGTATTTTGCCTTTACTGTGCCTTGTAATTTTTTCTTGGTAGCCAGACGTGAGGTACCAGGTAGAAGGAACTGCTGTATATAAGTCTTCAGTAAAATGTGGTGAGGTGTGGGATAGGGAAAGCATTCTGTACTCCTGAGATTAAGTCTGAGTCTTTCAGTGAGCCTGTGCTTCAGAAATCTCAACCTCACAAGTGCTTGTCAATTATCCTTCACCCCACTTGGTTGGGACAAAATGGCGAAAGTGAGCTAGAATGTGGTATTTTCCTTCCCCCAGGTCAGTTAAGCACTGAAAAATTCTAATAGTTTAGGCTCCAGTAAAATAATTTCTTTGAGGGCAGGACTTATGAAGAAAAACCGAATGCTCTGGTCTATTTCAAAAGGCTACTTTTCTTCTCCTCCTCCTAGAAGCATGAGGGATTTTTCTTATTTGCTGTGAGAACCTGGTTGAGCTCCTAGAGATAAAACTCACAAAAGTATAGGAACTCCCCTATTATTTGGTCCCTTGGGAGTTTTTAACTCTCAGACTTGTCCACACTCAATCTCTAGGAATCCATCAATTACAATTAAGGGTTTCCTACCCCAGTAATGGTTCCTGCAGAGGTGGGTTTCTGCTCCGTTAAGTTGTGACTATCTGTACTTGCCTGTCTGCCTCTCCAGCTTTTAGGGTAGTGGTTTGCCCTGCAATCTCATTTCTCTGACAGATGTGAGAAGAGTTGATTTCTCAGTTTGTTCAGCTTTTTACTTGTTGGGAGGAGATGGTGACTTCTAAGCTCCCCACTTACCAGATCGGAAAACTGGGGGAGGGGCAGCCTTCCAAATGTGTGGAGTGATAGAAACAATCTGGCAACAAATTGCCTCCCAAAGTGCATTCATTCAGTGCTGTCTGTGTTAGTGTCCCAGCTGCTCTCCCTCCCATTTGCGTCATACCTGGTGCTGACAGTGATTGTGGCTTTTGAAAATTTGATAAAAATTGATTTGCTTATCTACTTTTCTCACCAAAATTCCAGGGTTTGGCTTTCAGGCTGAAAGATAAGTTACGACACATCCATCCACCTTCTGGCTGGCAGGTTTTACTGATATTATCCTTTCTTTTTCTCCCAGCCCTTTGCCTTTTCAAAAACAACAACAGGCTGGGCACGGTGGCTCAGGCCTGTAATCCCAGCACTTTGAGAGGCCGAGGTGGGCGGATCATCTGAGGTCAGGAGTTCAACACCAGCCTGACCAACATGGTAAAATCCGTCTCCACTAAAAAGACAAAAAATTAGCTGGGCGTGGGTGTGCGTCACCTGTAATCCCAGCTACTCGGGAGGACAAGACAGGAGAATCGCTTGAACCTGGGAGGCAGAGGTTGCAGTGAGCCCAGATCGTGCCACTATACTCCAGCCTGGGCGACAGAGTGAGATTCCATCTCAAAAACAACAACAACAACAACAACAACAACAAAACCTCTTCAGTGTATGTTTAATAAAGATTCAGGAGGAAGCAAGTTAAATGGGTATACTCAGTCTGCCGTTTTAACTCTTATTCCTTGAGACCCATGGGAAGAATCTTTCTAGTCTGTCCGCAGTGAAAATAGAACAGTTGTTCACAGTTCTCTCTACAGGCTGTTCCCTTGTGTCTGTCTGCAAGAGATTTATGAAATAGCCCAACACACCCTGTTCTCTTGGTGAAATATATTAATAGAAACCCTCTTAAGTTTTTTAAGGAAGCAGCTATTAACAACTTCACATAAAGGAGTTCTTACTGGGGAAATGGAAAATTATGGACATAAAAATAGAACTTAAAATATTTGATATACCAGATGGGTAAACTTTATAAGCATGAACTTTAGGTGAGGATTTTATTGTCATTTTAATTCTTTAACCTTTCTTTAGAGTTCAGGACTAGACAGAGAAACTCATGAAGAAAATAAAGTTAAGGGCCTCTTTTCCATTTTCAAGAAGGCCCTTACAGTGATCCAGAAACCTCAAGATTCCTTCTCTCTTCTGTATCTTCACCTCCCCCTTTTGTATCCATGTATTTCTATGACTACGTGGAGACACATGCACATATACACATGAATGGATGATTGGTTAGATACAGATGTACATACACCAATGACAGAGAGCTAGATATACATATATACCTTAATAGAAAACAAATTTAAAAGTCTATACCTGAGATCCTTTGTGATTGATAAATATGATTTTTAGGCAAATGGCTGCTATGATTGACCTTAAGTTCAGGAAAAGGAACCCCTCTGAAAATACTGACGGAATCACAATGAGTGAACTTCCTAATACATGTCTTTGTTCTTCCCTTTGACTTAGGAGGATTGTATGTAATATTTAGTCTTTGCTGAAGGGACTTACCAACTTCAAAAGTGGAGAAAAAAAGTAAGGAAATCCTGGCATCACTTTGTAATAGCCATAATAGGTGAGATAGCAGGAATGGGGATAAAATTACAAGTAACCTTAATACTTTATATTAAATAAATCTTGAGGAAATTTATGGTAGATTTATTGTTATTTGCTATTTGCATTATTTTACAAATATAAATGAAATATTTTTTCTAGTACTATACTAATCATTGTGGGGAATACCATTATATAATTTAGTCTTTGTCATGAAAATGTAATAAAGAATTCATGAAAACAAGGTATGTATACTTAAAAGTTCTAAAATAATGTTAGGTAATATATAAAAGAACAAAAAAGATGTAGTAACAGATGTGATTTTTATAAACACCACGGAGCTGAGATGGAAGGAATTTGTGGTAATTTGAGACAGAAGGAAACTCACCCCTACACTTTCAGTGGGAGTGAGATTTAAGACATGTTTTTAAGAGAAATTGACATGGGCAGACAGTCCAGATTAGCAGGTTATATGAGTATGGTACCTAGATGGGGGTAAAATGGGTTGGTGATGTAGTTACTTTTTTTTTTTTTTTTTTTGAGACGGAGTCTCGCTCTGTTGCCCAGGCTGGAGTGCAGTGGCGTGATCTCGGCTCACTGCAAGCTCCGCCTTCTGGGTTCATGCCATTCTCCTGCCTCAGCTTCCCGAGTTGCTGGGACTACAGGTGCCCGCCACTGCGCCCAGCTACTTTTTTTGTATTTCTAATAGAGACGGGGTTTCACCATGTTAACCAGGATGGTCTCGATCTCCTGACCTTGTGATCCGCCCGTCTCGGCCTCCCAAAGTGCTGGGATTACAGGCGTGAGCCACCACGCCTGGCCGATGTAGTTATTTTTAAATAAACATGCATAGTTTTATTGTGCAAATTTAATAATCAGTATATATTGTTGAGGATATTTTAAGCTCCCTGAGACAAACAGATAAATAAAAATAACAAAAACAAACACAACTACTAAATCAGGATAGATCATGTCCCATTATATCCCTAACTGAAAGCAGTGACAGTAGGTCACCCTCTTTCCAATATCCAGCAAAATGTCTTTTCTATAATTGATAGTAAGAAAAAAATTGTCTCATGGAATAAAATAGGAGAAACTGATGTCTGCTTAGTATTTAGGATTATAAGTGCTCATGAGCTACATGTCAAGTAATTAGATTAATCAAGATGCAGCCACTGACTTTAATTAAACTTTACAGCACTGAGTGAAGAGTAATAAACTTATATAAAATAAAATGGGTAGGATTTAGGGTCAATCTGCATTGCATATTAATCAGATGTTGAGTGTTCTCTCTCAAAACACATACTCACAAAGAATATATTCAAAAGCTGCCTAAACATCTTGTCAGTTTCAGTTATGACAGTAGCCATCTGGACACTCCTGAACAGCTGCAGGTGTAGCATCACATGGCCATGGTGAAACTTAATGAAGAATGAACATATGATTTAATTCATTTTGACTTTGAATTAGAATTAGAAGTCTAACTCCTGGAAATATGGGGCCAAGCCCACTGATGGTATTTATTTTGTTCTCTTGAAGAAAAATCTTCTCCAAATAGGAATTAAGAGCTTTGTTCTAAGATAATATGCTGTGTACTCATTTACTCATCAACCATTTATCGAGCATCTGTTATGTGCTAGGCCTAGCAAAGCACTTGTGAAATTTGAAGTTCTTATCCTCATGAAACACAGAGGCTAATGGAGGAACAGAGAATAAACCAAGTACACAAATGTGCAGTTGTAAATTGTATTTAGTACTAGGCTGGAGGAAAAAATGAAGTATATAAGGTACATGTGTGGTAGTGGGGGATGCTTATTTAGGGTGATGAGGGAAAACACCTCTAGAAAAATAACCTTTCAATAAATGCTTAAACATTAAGAAGTTGGCCAATGAAAATCCAAGGCAGAAAAGGAGGTAGGGAGGAGAATATTCCAGGCAGAAGGAATACCATGTGAGAATGCCCTGATACAGAATAGAACTTAGCATATTTACCCTTTGAAAGGAGTCCATTAGGTTTGCAGTAACATAGGCAATAGGAGAGAGGGATAAAATGAAAAGGAGGGAGAGAGAGAGTTGGGACACATAGCTATTTTAGGCCCTGGTTAAGAGTATAAGTTTTATACTCTATTGTAACAAAAACCAATAAAATTATTTTAATCAAAAGAGTGACATAAATTCTTTTCATTCAAAAATATTTATTGAGATCCTTAAGGTGTGCCTGGAACTGTTTTTCGGTTTTTGATATATATTAGTGAGATCACACACACACACACATTCTAGCCTGTTTTGGACATGAGTTTGTATCCTACTTGTATACAGGGGATGGAGACAGACAACAGACAGTAGGAATTGTAAATAATTAAACTTTATAGTGTTAGGAAGTGATGAATCCTCCAGATAAAACAAAACACAGAACTAGAGAAGAAAAGTCAGGAATGTCAGGAATGGGATGTGAAGATAACAAACCTGCAATTTTAAGTAAAGCAGTCAGAGTAGCCTTATTTATTAAATTATGGATCATAAAGAACTCTGTTTTAGATATTTGGGTTTTCTTTAGACTGTGAAACTGAGACAATGAAAATGCTTTTTTCTCTCCTTAATATAAAACAAACTGTGTTTATATCAAGATTGCATATAAGTGTGATTGTTTGTAACTGTGACCATTGTTTCATCGACATTAAGCCTCCTGTTGGGTTTTGCATGGCTGTGATTGATTGACTGAGTGAGCGCTATTGTTTTGTGCTTGCATTTGGTTCTTGCCACACTGTTTGAATGTAAGATAGTTTAGAAATATATGCTTTTGATTATATGGTAGAAAAAATAGTTTTGTTATTATACTCAATGGATTACCCAAGTCACCAATCAGATCTCAAAAAATTGGCTAATTCAGTAAATAACAGCAGAAGGGAGTCAATTGCTTAAACATTTTAGTATGTTTTATTACTGAATATTGGTTGTGCAATCATGAATTCAGGTCTGATTAAGAAACAGCAAGACTGTTCTGCAGAAAATTTTAAACTACTCTTTCCTAAATTAAGATCAATTCCTATATTGAGGGCAATGTTTGGTTAAGAATTTCATATTCCATATCATTTGGCTTTTCTTCACCAATTACATGTGCTTATCAGATGGTTATTTTTGTGATACAACATGATTCTATGGATGAATTTTAAATATTTGTTTTGTTATGGTATTATGAATATTTAAAATGAATTCCAGCTGACAGAATTTATCAGTTGAAGCCTAATTTGAATTTTAAGTCAATAAAATGGCATGCCCTTTTTGTTATTAATTCACTTATTCATTCATTTATTAAGTTTCCATTACAGAATAAGTCCATGGCTAGTGCTCAGGAATCTAACATTTAAAAAGACAAAATCTTTACTTTGGGAGACCACCTCCTTTGTTTTGAGAGCATTTTAATTGATCATGGGAAGCCCAACTCCTTCTGAAATCCTTAAAATGATGAAGGAAGGGAAAAGGAAAGGAATCAGCGTGATTGAAGTAGAGAAGAAGAAAGCAAGGTCAGTTCTAGGACCAACGGAACTCTGTTCAAGCATGCTCAGCTAAGAGGGGGATTGCGGGCTAAAATACAGTTCATGTTTCACTCATGAAGCTCTACACAGCATTGTTTCCCCTGCCAAAAGGGGTGACTTTTTCTAATTTTCAAAAAGCTCCTCTGGGTTAATGATGACCCTGTTCAGTCCTTACATTTGATAGTATTCATATCTAGTATTTATAGGGCTTTAACATGTGTCAGGAATTGTGTTTTGTGTATAATATCTCATTTATTTTATCTGAACAATCTAACAAGGGAGATGCTGTTGTTATCCCCATTTGACAGATGAGAAAACTGTACCTCAGGGAGAATGTAATTTGCTTAAGCATATCCAGCTCCTAGAACCAAATTTGAAGCTAGGCTTTTTGTTTCTAGGACTCATTGATTTTATTCACCATGCTAAAGCATGATGTACACAAACATGCACACACAAATATATATATTAACTTGAATTTGGTAATTATTTGCAGCTAAAGAGTATTTATGCAACAGCTATGACTAGCAGAGAATGCAAATAGCCAGGAATCCTGTGTTTAGAACTCAGTAACACTGAGCAGGAATAAATTGCTGTTATGGGATTCTTGGTTACACTGCTCTATTAATTTAATAGCAGACTCTGACTTTATTACAGTAAATAACATATTCATTAAAATGTTTAAACACTCATGAATGAAGAGAAGAGGCATTAGAAATGCACTCTGCTAGCATAACCAACAAAGCAATGCAATCATTTCATTGCATTAGGGAATGCTGGGGAGGTGATCTCCCTGCTTTCAGACTGACTCTTTCAGCTTGTTTTGTCTTTGGCAGTCAAGCCCCCTATCCATACCACTGAGGGTAACTAAAGAGAGCTATTTATTTGGGATAGAAAAACCAGTAACCTCTTGGTGGAATAAAGTGATCAAGAAGTAATGTAAGCCTTCAAGAAGAAAAAGTTTGTTCTAGATTGGTTTAGGTTAATCCACCACAGGGGAATATTGAATAGTTCTTCATTCCCAATGCATGAAAAAGTCAACTACATTCTGAGCAGAGGAATGAAAATGTGCATGTTTTATGAATGTCAGGTAAGGCCTGGTGGTTCAGAGAATTTTTATTTGAGATTCTAATTCCATATGTTTAAGATCATCTGCTCTAGTGAAGGGTAGCTCCTGGGTGTTCCTGACATCAAAATATTGGCATTTTTTTTTTGGCTGGCAAGTTAAAAATACACAAAATGGAGGTAGTTTTAGAAAATAAGACATTATCTTTAGCTAATTTTTAATCACCCTTTGAGGTCTTTGAGTAGTACTCTTGACGGTAATATGGCTATAGATGCACAATGAGTTGTATAAAGCAGAGAACATTTAGGTCACTATAATGATGTGGGCTATAAGAACCCAGTGATGACAGTGGTAACAGAGAGAAGACAGATGTGAGAGAAATGGTATCTCATACAGGGCTTGACAATCCTTAATTGGATGTAAGAGACAGGGGAGAGAAAAGAGGTTTGTTTTTTTTTTTTTTCTGGTGCATCCACTCATTTATTTAAGAAGTAAGTATTTACTACCTATTATGTCCCAGGCACTAGGATGCAATGCCTGTCCTATTGCTAAATTTTCTGAAACTTCCATTGACTCAGTTGGAGCTACCATCATGTGCTATTGTCAATTTCCCCACTGCTTTAATTGCCTCCAGAATCAAAATTAAATGGTTACTCCTTTTCTATCATCTGCAATTCTCTTTTCAGTGTTTCTCACCGGGAGAAGCTGACAAATACTCAGATGGCCTTGGGGGTCTGGTATGTACTTTGCAGGCCTTCAACTCTGGTGGTACAAAAACACATAGGAAGGAGAATGTAAAACTTAGGCCAGTGAGAACTACTGGACAAAAAGGTATTGTGATCACATCACATTTTGGTGGAAATCATTACTCTTTTGATTTTTCTCATACCTCATTAACTGTTCCTCCTTGGTTCTCTTGGCTGGTTCCTTATCTTTATTCTGACTTCCAAATATGGTAGTTCCCTAGCACTCAGACTGCAGAACTACATTCTTTCTACACCTATACTTGAGGGTGTCTTCTCCAGTCTCCTGGTGATAAATATGATTTGTAAATAGAAATGTTTAGATCTTCAGTTCCAACACTCCTCCAAAACTGCACACTTCTACATCCTATCAGCTACTTGAACACTCCTAATGGGAGACTAATTAGTACTTCAAACCTGGCATATAAAAAAACAGATCTCTTGACTTTCGTTTCCTCCACAAACCACCCTGATTACAAGCACCAGTAACAACAAAAACCCACAACAAACGACTCTGATCCTCCTCCAGTATTATAGAGTCAAAAAGGCTAGTAGTGTCATCCTCCCAGCTGCTGAGGCTGAATACCTTGCGGTCATTTCCAATCCCTCTATTTTCCTCACAGTCTGCAATGTATATGTCATATGTCAGCACATCCTGTCTGCTCCACCTTCAAGATAGAGCTAAAGTCCTGGAGGTCTATCCTCTTTCAGCTCTCCACAATGACCCTATAGTTCAAGCTGCACACACCTTTTGTCGGGGCTATTTCAAAAGACTCATACTGAGTTTCTCTTTTTTCACTCTTAATAGTACCTACGAGGTCTGCTCTATGCAACAGCCAGAGAGTCCTTCTCAAAATCTGAAGTGGTTCAGTAACTTTTCTGCTCGACTTCCTTTAATGGATTCCCATCTCACTCAAAATAAATTTCAAGACCTTAATATGGCCTATGAAGTCCTCCGTCTTCTGCTCCCCTGCCACCATTACTTCTCTGATTTAACATTTTACTGCTCTCTTAATCACTCATGATATTCCAGTCACACTACTTTCTTGCTGTTCCTCAACATAATAAGTATATTTAGGGCTCTTGCAATTTCTCCTCCTTGTCCCTGGAATGTTCTTTCCCCTGTTCTTTATAAGTCTTGTTCCATTATTTCTTTAGGTTTTGGCTCAAATATCACCTTATTCAAGAAGCTTTTCTTGAATATTGTATCAAAAAAGGCTTTCCCTAAATGCTCTGTTTTCTTCCCACTTTGTTCACAGCAGTTACTATTCTTGACTTTTGTTTATATATCTCTGTTTATATAACTCTGCATAATTCTTTGTTTGTTGTTCATATCCCCAAACTAGAGTGCTAGCTGTATAAGTATAGAAATTTGGTTTATTTATTAATATTTTCCACTGTCTAGAATAACGTCTGCCCCTGAGTAGGTGCTCAATGCAAGCACACCTTAAGGATATCGTGGGTTTGGTTCCAGACCATTGCAATAAAGCAAGTCACAAATTGTTTTGGTTTCCCAGTGTTTGTAAAAGTTATGTTTATACTACACTGTAGTCTATTACAAGTGCAATAGGATTACATCTAAAACAACAATGCACACACCTTAATTAAAAATACTTTCTTGCTAAAAAATGCTAATGATCATCAGAGCCTTCAGTGAGTTGTACATAATCCTTTTTGGTTGGTAGAGGGTCTTCCCTCTATGTTGATGGCTATGACTGATCATGGAGGTGGTTGCTGAAGGTTGAGGTGACTGTGGGAGTTTCTTAAAATCGTAGAACAATGAAGTTTGCTGCCTCGATTGACTCTTTCAAGAAAGATCTCTGTGCAGCATGTGATGCTGTTTGATAGCATTTTGCCCAAAGTAGAACATTTTAGAAATTAGATTCGATCTTGTCGAATCTTGCCACTGCTTTATCAACTAAGGTTATAGAATATTCTCATTTTTTTTTTGAGATGCAGTCTTGTTCTGTCACCCAAGCTGGAGTGCAGTGGCACAATATTGGCTCACTGCAACCTCTGCCCCCCAAGTTCAAGTGATTCTCCTGCCTCAGCCTCCTGAGTAGCTGGGATTACAAGTGAGCACCACCACATTCAATAATTTTTTTTTTGTATTCTTAGTAGACATGGGGTTTCACCATGTTGGCCAGGCTGGTCTCGAACTCCTGACCTCAAGTGATCCATCCACCTCAGCCTCCCAAATTGCTGGGATTACAGGCATGAGCCACCATGCCCAGCCAACATTCTCAAGTTTTTGTTGTTATATGAAAAATGTCCATAGCATCTTCATTGAGATTAGATTCCTTCTCAAGAAGCCACTTTCTTTACTAATACATAAGAAGCAATTTCTCATCTATTAAAGTTTTATCATGAGATTCCAGCAATTCAGTCACATCTTCAGGGTCCACTTCTAATTCTAGATTTCTTGCTATTTCCACCACATGTGCGATTACTTCTTCCACAGAAGTCTTGAATTTCTCAAAGTCATCCATGAGGGTTGAAATCAACTTTTTCCAAGCTCCTCTTCTGATTTCCCCTCCATGAATCACAAATGTTCTTAATGGAATCTAGAATGGTGAATCTTTTTCAGAATATTTTCAACTTATTTTGCCCAGATCCGTCAGAAAAATTACTATTGATGGCAGCTATATTGCCTTACAAAATGCGTTTTTTAAATAAGAAGTCTTGAAAGTCGAAACGTCTCCTTAATCCATGGGCTGCATAATGGATGTTGTCTTAGCAGGCATGAAAACAACATTGACCTCCTAGTATATCTCCATCAGAGCTCTCTTGGATCAGCCACCAGATGCATTGTCAATGAGCAGTGATATTTTGAAAGGAATCTTTTTCTTTCTCAACAGTGGGCTGAAAATAGCCAGTAATCTATGCTATAAACATATATACTGTTATCCAGGCTCTTTGTTTTCCCTTTTATAGAGCACAGGGAGAGAAGATTTAGCATAATTCTTAAGGGCCCTAGGATTTTCAGAAAAGTAAATGAGCATTAGCTTCAACTCAAAGTCACTACATGAATAGGCTTCTAATGAGGGAGCTTAGCCTGTTTTTTGAATCTTTGAAGACAAGCATTGACTTTCGCTAGCTATAGAAGTCCTAGATGGCATCTTCTCCCAAGAGAAGGCTGTTTCATCAACATTGAAAATTTGTGGTTTAGTGTATCCCCTTTCATCAATTGTCTTAGCAAGGACTGAATAACTTGTTGCAGCGTCTACATCAGCACTTGCTGTTCACCTTGCACTTTGATGTTATGGAGATGGGTTTCTTTCCTTAAACCTCACAAACCAACCTTTGCTTACCTCCAACTTTTCTTCTGCATCTTTCCCGCCTCTCTTATCCTTCATAAAATTGAAGAGAGTTAAGGATTTGCTCTGGATTAGGCTTTGCCTTAAGGGGATGTTATGGCTGGGTTGATCTACAACATTCTCCATATCAGCAATAAGACTGTTTTTCTTTCTCATCATTTGTGTGTTCACTAGAGTAGCATATTTAATTTCCTTGAAGAACTTTTCCTTTGCATTCACAACTTGGCTAACTGTTTGGCACAAGAGGCCTAGCCTTCAGCCTGTCTCAGTTTTTGATATGCCTTCCTCACCAAGCTTATTAATTACCAGCTTTGGATTTAAATTGAGAGATGTGTACTTCTTCCTTTCACCTGAACACTTAGAGGCCATTTATCAGGTAATGAATTAGCCTGATTTCTATATTTTTGTATCTTAGGAAATGGGGAGGCACAAAGAAAGAGAGAGAGTTGGGGGAATGACCAGTTGGTGAAGCAGTATGAAAACACCCGTTTATTGATTAATTTTGCCATCTTATATGGGTGCAGTCTGTGGCACCTCAAAGCAATTACAATAGTAACATTAAAGATCACTGATTACAGATCACCATAACAGATATAATAATAATGAAAATGTTTCAAATATTGCAAGAATTACAAAAATGTAACACAGATAATTAAAGTGAGCACATTATTAGAAAAATGGTGTAGACAGACTTGCTCAACGCAGGGTTGACATAAACCTTCAATTTTTAAAAACTACATTATCTGCAGATCACAATAAAGCAAAGTGGAATAAAATGAAGTATACCTGTATGTACTTGAATGAATGAATATATGAGTGAATGAGTGAATGCCGTATAAAAGATGCGTTAATTTGGAGGGATTACAGAATGGGTGCATCTTGAAATGAGAAGTTATTGATGCATGATGTTTGCTTGAACTATGTGGTGGAAGGAAGGAGGTATATGTTTTCAAGAGGTATTTATAACATAATGGGCAAACATTTGGTGGTCAGTTGAACAAAAGTCGCAAGGAAGAGTGCAATGTTAAGGATGCCACCTAGATTTCTGGCTTCTGCAGCTAGATTAATAATTATGTATTTTTCTAAAAAAAAGGAATGAAAGGGAAACACATTTTAAAGGAACAATCATAATTTCAGTTTTAAATGTTTAATTTTAACTTTGTGTATCCAGACTCAACCTCTACACATAAGGAACAATTACCTGAATAATTCAAACCCCTAGATTAATCTCAAAACACTGATAATGAGGAAGCTATTTTTGTTGTTGGTCTCTAGGGTCCTTGGCAAAATTAGAAACAACTACTAGAGGCATCCTTCTTACTCTTGATTACAGAATCTGTTTTTCTTCTTCTAACACACCCAAGACTCTTTCCTCTCTCAAAGTCAGCTTTAAGAACACATCTAAAAAAAATCAGTTACACCATACTGTGAATTTAAGTCAATGAAACATTATCAGCCTCATTTCTGACTACATAATACAATTCTCTACCCCTATTTTTACCCAAAAAGACTTCAAGCAAGAGTGAGCAGATAGGTAAGATCACTGTAGGGGTAGAAGCCCATCTGTTATATAGGGTGTTACAATTATTGAATGACTATTTAAACCTTTGTTTAACATAGAGGATCAACTCTAGGTCCATCTTGATTAATTTCAGAGAGATGAATAGCATGTTTAGCCTCATTTTCAGTTGCCCAACAAATAGACCCTCAATCCCAAGAATTCCAAACTGGAACATGCAGGTGTATAAAATCATTATAGAAATAAAGACCTATCCACCATCCATGTGATTATATCAATCTGCAGGACAATTTAAACCTTTATTTAATACTTAGGATAAACCCTAGGTTTATTTTAATAATCTCAGCTATGTACGTATCTGGTTGCCTGGGAGATATATTGTGGCTTCCTCTGTCGGCAAGTCAAGAAAGAAATTGCTTAGCAATAAAAGTTTGAAAAGGGTGAGGACTGATGCAGTAAAGCTTTTATGATAAATCTACCTTTGCAATGTCTTTTTGAAATGAGGAGTTGCATCCCAAAAGGAATGGCTATGCTAGAAATGAAAACTACCATTCTGATTAAAATAGTGTAATAGAGAAAATTGAATTATTTTGGACATTAATTATGTCCAAACTAAACAAGTACTCACATAGCAAAAAAGCAAAGATAGTTCTCTTCTGCCCCCACCACCCCCACACTTTAAGCCAAAATATTTATTTGTGTATCTGAGAGATATTTATTTAGCCTCTACCTATTTGATAAGTTTGGGGCTGATGCTATGGGAGATACTGAATGTGAATATTCTATATTTGCTACATTTGAGAGCCTCTTAGGTTATTGCCTGAAACAATATATTTCTATAACTTCAATATAATATATAATATAGTAAACATCAAGAGAGTCACACAGTCCTGTGGGAATTCAGAAAGAGAGATTACTTCTGACTGGAGTAGAGTGGTGAGGAAAATTTATATGATCTTAGAAAAGGCAGCATTGGAGCTGAGTTTTGAGAGATAAATAGTGTAGACAAGCATTAATGGAAAAGGCACAGAGCAACTGATGAGAGTATTATAAAGAAAGTCATGGAGGCAGAAAATCATTGTACACATATAGGGTTACATAAGGTCACTTTGGCTGGACCTCAGAGTACATAAAGAATAATTTGGGAGAAAGTCTGCAAGAGTGCTAAAGGTGGAATGATAAATGACTTCACTTTGTAGTTTAGACATTTCGTCTTAACTTTTTATGAAGCTTGGAATTAGATAATTTAGTTTCCTGATTTAATTCAGACCTATTATTAACTACTTGTTGGGAATTTGGTAAGATCTCATTATTTTGGGACATGAAAATATTTATCTACAAAATGAAGAAGCTAAGTTGGAGTGTCCTTCCAGTTTAAGATTCCTTCAAGCATTCATACCCAGATTTGATTTTTTCCCCTCACCCTCACATGAAATGTATTACCAGTTTAATTTTGTAGACTCTCCTCAAAAATTGCATTTTCTTCAGTGCATACTTTATGCTCATTCCCGCTGACCTTCCCCTGGTGTAAAATTTAGATTCTTTGGCTTTGGCTCCCACCTGTTTCCTCAGTGTCATTGACCTTTAGGACCTACACCCGAAATGCAGTCATAAGAGAACATTACTAGAAGTTACCTAAATCTCCATCCTTATCCATGCTTTTGCAGCATTACTTATACTTTGCTTAGAATGCCCTTTCTGCCAGTCTCTTTCTGTGCTTAAGAAAGTCCTTATCTACTTCCAAAAACACAGTTCAAATACTATTATTTTCCTTGTGTCTCCCTTCCACTCCAGCATTTTTTCATGTTAATATTTCAAGAAAACTTTAAAACTACCATGTTTAGTTTTGCTTAACAAGTGTGTGTGTTTTCACTAAATGATAAATTTTTCAGTATATTTATCCTTCAAAGCACCGAGTTTAGTGATGTGCATGAAGGAGGTGCTCAAGCTAATGTTCGAGTGAATAAATAAATGGCAAACAATGCAAACCGATACAAAACACTGAAGCTTTACAACCATGACAGAGACATACATTTTAGTATACACTATGTCAGTTTGCTTTCTAATCTGTGAACAACACTCTACTATGGAGTGTTATTGCTTTGCACTTTATAGCCCAAGAAGCCAGAACAACACATTATAGTATTATTAACTGTGTGCACGTTGTTGTACAACAGATCTCTAGAACTTTTTCATTTTGGATAACGGACACTCTACACCCATTGAAACGCAAATGCACATTTTCCCCTGCCCCATTCCCTGATGACCACCTTCCTACTTTCTATGATTTTAGATACCTCATATACATGGAATCATGCAGTATTTGTCTTTCTGTGATTGCTTATTTAACTTAGCATAATGTCTTCCAGGTTTACCATGTTGCAGCATATGATATGCATAGGCCACATTTTCTTTATTTGTTCTGTTGATGGACATTTAGGTTGCTTACACCTCTTACTATTATGAATAATGTTGTGTAGGGGTGAAAAAGAAACATATTTTCCATAGCCAGGGCAAAATCGTGGCTGAGATCTTATGACAAAAGACAGATTAACAAGAGGAAAGCATAACAAATTTATTTAATGTTTTATGTGACACAGGAGCCTTAATAAATGAAGACCCAAAGAAACAGGGAGAACTGCATATTTTTTTTCTTCAACTTCTGTTTTAAGTTCTGGAGCACACGTGAAGGATGTGTAGGTTTGTTACATTAGTGAATATGTTTCATGGTGGTTTGCTGAACAGATCAACATATCACCTAGGTATTAAGCCCAGCGTCCATTAGCTATTCTTCCTGATGCCTTCCCTCCCCACTCCCAGCATGCCCCAGTGTGTGTTGTTCCCCACTATGTGTTCTCATTGTTTAGCTTCCACTTATGAGTGAGAACACGCAGTGTTTGTTTTTCTGTTCCTGTGTTAGTTTGCTGAGGATAATGACTTCCAGCTCCATCCACGACCCTTCAAGGGACGTGATCTCATTCCTTTTTATGGCTGTATAGTATTCCATGGAATATATGTACCACATTTTCTTTATCCAGTCTATCATTGATGGGCATTTGGGTTAATTCCATGTCTTTGCTATTGTGAATACTGCTGCAATGAACATATGTGTACATGTATCTTTATAATAGAATGATTTCTATTCCTTTGGATGTATACCCAATAATGAGATTGCCGGGTCAAATGATATTTCTGCTTCTAGATCTTTGAAGAATTGCCACACTGTCTTTAATGATGGTTGAACTAATTTACGTTCCCACCAACAGTGTAAAAGCATTCCTTTTTCTCTGCAACCTCAATAGCATCTGTTGTTTCTTGACTTTTTGATAATCACCATTTGACTGGAGTGAGATGGTATCTCATTGTTTTGATGTGCATTTCCCTAACAAATCTGAGTATTTCTATGGACAGTCATGCAGAAGTATGATTAGGGGACAAAAAGGTGAGATCTAATGGTAATAATTAGAGGGTCAGGAGGGGAGAGGGTGAATAGTAAGGCAAGTTTGGTTTCTTCTTAGGGCCCCTGTGTGACATTCCTTCCCTCTGGGGATAGAGGAAGACATGAGTCACATGAGGATCTTCATGGGAGAAGAAAGAGAGAAGGTTAGAGATCAACTTCCTAGGTTTTATGGCCTGCTTCATGGGAGAAAGGGGGAAGAGATCAGAGAAACCATCCAGTTTCTGTTGTTTTTTCAATTTTCAAAGTGCCATATTTTGGGTGTAGTGTTTATTGTACCTCATTGGCTACAAGGAACATGGAAGTGCAAATATTTCTTCAAGATACTGCTTTAGATTCTTTTGGATAAATATCTGAAAGTGGAATTGCTGGATCACATGGATCACATGGCAGTACTATTTTAAATATTTTGAGATACCACCAGATGAATTTTCATAGGGTCTGACCCATTTTACAGTCCCTCCAACAGTGTATAAGGATTCAAATTTCTTTACAGCCTCACCAACTCTTGTTATTTTCAGTTTTATTGATAATGGCCACCCTAATAAGTGTCAGAAGATACCTCATTGTAGTTTGGTTTGCATTTCCCTGATCAATAGCAATGTTGAACATCTTTTCATACACCTTTTGTTCATATGTAGGTCTTCTTTGGAGAAACATTGGTTCAAGTCCTTTGTCCATTTTTAAATTGTGTTAGTTTTTTTGCTATTAATTTGTAGGAGTTCTTTATATATTTTGAATACTAAGTCCTTATCAGATGCATGGTGATGTGGTTTAGCTGTGTCCCCAACAAAATCTCATCTTGAATTGTAGTCTCCATAATCCTCATGTGTGCGAGGGACCAGGTGAGAGGTAATTGGATACCCCCATGCTACAGTTTTTGTGATAGTGAGTTCTCACAAGATCTGATGATTTTATAAGGGGCTTTTCCCCCTTTTGCTTGGCACTTCTCCTTGCTGCCGCCATGTGAAGGATGTGTTTGCTCCACTTCTGCCATGATTGTAAATTTCCTGAGGCCTACCCAGCCCTGCTGAACTGTGAGTCAATTAAACCTCTTTCCTTTGTGAATTACCCAGTCTCAGGTATATCTTTATTAGCAGCTTGAGAACAGACTAATTCACATGGTTTGCAAATCTTCTCCCAATATGTAGGATGCCTTTTCACATTTTTGATTGCCTCTTTTACTGCATAGAAGCTTTCTAGTTTGAAGTAGTCTCACTTATCTATTTTTCCTTTGGTAATCTGTGCCTTTGTGAACTAGGAAGTGAGCTCTCACCAATCATCGAATCTGCTGGCACATTTAACTTGGATTTCCCATCCGCAAGAACTGTAAGAAATTTCTGCTGTTTTTAAACCACCCAGTTGTGTTACTTTGTCATAGCATCCTTAATCAACTAAGATAGGTAGTACTGACATTTTAACAATATTTTCTTCCAGTCCATGAACACCAGATATCTTTCTATTTGTGTATTATTTAATCTCTTTCAGCAGTGTTTTGTTGTTTTCAGTGTAGAAGACTTGTGCCTTTTTGGTTGAGTTTATTTTTTATATTTTTTTACTGCTATTATAAATGGGATTTTTTTAAACTTTCTTTTTGTATTGTTCATTGTTACTGTATAGAAATGCAACTAATTTTGTTGATTTTGGATCCTACAACTTTGTTCATTTCAATTATTTTCACAGTTTTGTGTTGAATCTTCAGATTTTTCTGTATAAGATTAAGTCACTGTGAATAGGGAAAATTTTACTTCTTTTTTTCTGATTTAGATGTCTTTTCTTTCTTTTTTTATCTAGCTGCTCCAGCTAGGACTTCCAGCACTACACTGAATAGAAGTGATGAGAGTGGGCATTATTGCCTTATTTCTGATCTTATAGGAAAAGCTTTCAGATTTTCACTGTTGAGTATGATGTTAACGTAGACATTTATTTATAACCTTCATTATGTTGAGACAGTTTCTCTCTTCCTAGTTTTTTAAGCATTTTTATCATGAAAGGCTGTTAAATTTTGTCAGATGAAAATTTTTTGCATCTCTTGAGATAATCATAAGATATTTATAGATTTTTTTTTCTGTTAATGTGATATATTGCTCAGGGTTCTCCAGAAAAATAGACCAATAATTTATACAGTCAGCCCTTGAACAATGTGGGGTACAGGCCCTCTTACAGAGTCAAAAATCCACATACTACTTTTGAATCCTCCAAAACTTAACTACTGATATGCTACTGTTGACTGGAAGCCTTACCAATAACATAAACAGTCAATTAGTACATATTTTGTATGTTATATGTATTATATACTGTATTCTTACAATAAAATAAGCTAGAGAAAAGAAAATATTTAGAAAATCATAAAGAAGAGAAAATACCTTTATAGAGCTGTAATGATTGATACTATAAGTTTACATCATTGGTTTACAAAATGAATCATATGTCTGAAATGATAGGCAACTGCAGCTGTAGACCTCAATCTAAGGTACATATCAAGAAGTTTAACTTTTTGGGGCTACTGTCATGACTTTTCTCTGCTTCTTGTAGCACTTCCAATATCACTAGAGGTGCTTCATATGTGCACCTTGGTGTTATTTGAGGTTTACCATATTGGACTAAACATGATGAAAAATACACGAGAACTGCAATAGGTCACTTTTCACTGTGATACACAATTTTCTGGAGAGACAAACTGCTCATGTGGAGTGACTAAGGTCATGTGGGGTTTTACGTAGATACTCATGACACTTAAGCTCATTGCAATAGCAGCAGGAGGTGGCTACAAAATTATTACAGTAGTACAATATGCACTGCAATGAATTTTATGCAGTTATGATTTAATGCTGAATATTTACATTTGTTTACATTTCTCTTGAGTACATAGGATGCCATGCATGGTCTATAAGTGTTTGTATGCATAAGTTTTGATAACTTTTAACTTTTTATAATAGAATTGTATTTATTTTATAGTTATAAATGATAAAATAGACTAGTATTCACATATATTTTCTGTAGTTATTGCATATCTAACTTTATTATTATTTGCTATTTCTAGACTACATTGTCCATCAGTGGGTTTTCTTTCAAATTGTTGCAAACCTCCAAGAAATTTGCCAATTTGCCAATATATTTATTTTAAAAATCTGCATATACTTGGAACTGTGCAGTTTAAACTCATCTTATTCAAGAGTCAACAGTATGTATGTGTATATATACACACACCACATACACACACACAATCGTGTGCTGAATAATGACATTTCACTCAACAACTAACTGTATATATTGCTTTTAGGTATACAAACACTTACCATTGTATTGCAATTTTCTACAGTATTCAATACAGTAACAAGCAGTACAGATGTATAGCCTAGGAACAATAGGCAATACCACATAGCCTATGTATATAATAGGCTATACCATTTAGGATTGTGTAAATACACTCTATGATATCAACAAAACAATGAAATTACCTAACAACATATTTCTCAGGCCATATCCCCATTGTTAAGCAATACATGACTGTTTGTATATACACATACAAACCCACAAAATAGGGATTGGCTGATGCAATTATGAAAGCTGAGAAGTCACACAATCTGATTCTCCAAACCAGAGAACGTGGAAAGCCAATGGTGTAATTCAGTATGAGACTGAAGTCATGAGTTAAAAGTTATCAAAACTTATGCATACAGACGCTTATAGACCATGCATGGCATCATAGGTACTCAAGAGAAATGTAAACAAATGTAAATAGGCAGTATTAAATCATAACTGCATACAATTAATTGCAGTGGTGAGGAGCAGGGGTTAGAATGATGTAAGTTTCAGTCTGAGTCTGAAAGCCTGAGAACCGGGAGTGCTGATGTTCCAGATCAGGAGAAGGCAGATGTCCTAGCTCAAACAGAAGCAAATTTCCTCTTCCTATGACATTTTGTTCTATTCAGGCATTTGAGGGATTGGATGATGCCCTCCTGCACTGTTGAGAATGATCTTAACTGGGTCTACTGATTCAAGTGCTAATCTCTTCCAGAAAAAACTCACAGACACAGACAGATATAATTTTTTTTTTGACAGAGTCTTGCTCTGTTGCCCAGGCTCCTGGAATGCAATGGCATAATCTTAGCTCACTGCAACCTCCGCCTCTCAGGTTCAAGTCATTCTTCTGCCTCAGCCTCCCCAGTAGATGGGACTACAGGCATGCTCCACCATGCCTGACTAATTTTTATATTTTTAGTAGAGATAGGGTTTTGCCATGTTGGCCAGGCTGGTCTCAAACTCCTGACCTCAAGTGATCCACCCACCTCGGCCTCCCAAAGTGCTGGGATTACAGGCGTGAGACATTGTGCCCAGCCTAGATGTAATGTTTTATCAGCTACTTGGGCATCCTTTTAGCCCAGTCAAGTTGACACATAAAATTCACCATCAAATATGGAGTGTCACATAGATGGTTATTTGTGTGATGAATTTTCTTTGCATCCAGGGATAAATTTTACTTGATCATGGTGTGTAATGATTTTAATGTTTTGTTTGCTAATATTTCATTAAGAATTTTTCCATCTTTATTCATCATAGATATTGTCATATATTTTTCTTTTCTTATACTGCCTTTGGCTTTGGTGTCAGAGGAATGCTGACACAGAACCCCAGTTTGGAAGTATTCTCTCTTCTTCAGTTTTTTGGTTTAGTTTGAGAATGATTGTGTTAATTCTTTAAATGTCTGGTAGAATTCACTGGTGAAGCCATCTGGCCCTGGGTTTTTCTGATTTTGTCTCAATCTTATTACTAGTTATAAGTTTTGTTTTTTCTTTTTATTTCATCATCATTTAATCTTGGTAAGTTGTATGTTTCTAGGAGTATTTCCATTTCTTCTAATGTGTCCAATTTGTTGGTATATAATTATTTATAGTGGTCTCTTATAATCATTTATATTTCTGTGGAATCAGTAAATATGTCTGTTTTTCATTTCTGTTTTTATTTATTTGAATCTTCTCTTAATCCAGCTATATTTTGTCAATTTTGTAGATATTTTCAATGAATAACTCCTAGTTTTATTTATTTCTCTCTATCATTTTTCTATTATCTGTTCTATTTATTTCAACTGTAATCTGTATTATGCTCACTCTTCTGGTACCTCTTGGCTTAACTTCTTATTGAGGTTTTAATTTGTTTTGAGGTTTCCTCTTCTGGTGTCTCCCTGACAGACCTCCCACCATCGCACTGCTCCCCTATGGGATATTTATTTATTTGACTTAATATGCATGTGGGCTCTGCTTTTGGTTGAATGAGGAAAATACATTTGGATACAAGGCAGGTAGAAAATAAAATAAAATTATTAGAAAATGCAACTGATGTAATGGTATATGTCATCCTGGTCCCCTGGACTGGTTTAGTCCTCTGTGAGGAGGGGTGCCAGATCTAGATAATAAAGAGGTTTTAAGAAACATTTGTGAGGTTAAAGATATAATGGTATCATTTAATCAATATATTACTGCAAGCTGTAAGTAATAGAAAAAAAATTCAGTAAGTTTAAGGAAACAGAGGTTTTATTACATGATTACAGGATCTTGCATAGAACCCAAGAATGATGTCATAGCTAGGGTTATGACATGTTAAACAAACATGGTTTCTGGTGGCATATGCCTACATAATATGAAGGTCTTTGCAAAAGCAGGGGAATCATTGTGGATTGACTAGAAACATCAAAAATATCCACTATTGGGTCACTAGTGATATAATAATTATGATTGCATAAAGAGTACAAACTTCTTACTCTCCCATAGACTATTGTGGAGGTTTTGCCCAGAAGACTCATTATAACTGTAACATGTATCTTAGCCTTAAACCATATTTTGAAATGTTTTTCTCTAGTCAAAAATGTGGCCTTTATTGGGGGCCCCACCCCCAATATTTCAGTGTAGGTTCTTTCTATTTTTCATAAGTGTCGGCTGGCTGAGAAATAAAGAGAGACAATACAAAGGGAAGAATTTTACAGCTGGGCTGCCAGGGTTGACATTGCATATCAGTAGGACCATGATGCCTGCCTAAGTCTCAGACCAGCAAGTTTTTATTAAGGGTTTCAAAAGGGAGGGTGTGTAAGAACAGGGAGTAGGTACAAAGATCACATGCTTCAAAGGGCAAAAAGCAGAACCACTAATAAGGGTCTAACAAAGATCACATGCTTCTGAGGGAACAGGACAAAGGGCAAAAGCAGAACCACTGGTAAGGGTCCAACAAGGATCACAGGGCAAAGGGCAAAAGCAGAACCACTGATAAGGGTCCATGTTCAGCGGTGCATATATTGTCTTGATAAACATCTTAAACAACAGAAAACAGGGTTCAAGAGCAGAGAAACAGTCTGACCACAAATTTACCAGGGTTGAGTTTTCCCAACCCTAGTAAGACTGAGGGTTCTGCAGGAGACCAGGGCTTATCTCAGTCCTTATCTCAAATGCACAAGACAGACGTTCCCAGAGCAGCTGTTTATAGACCTCCCCCCAGGAATGCATTCTTTTCCTAGGGTATTAATATTAATATTCCTTGCTAGGAAAAGAATTTAGCAATATGTTTCCTACTTACATGTGCTTTTATACACTCTCTGCAAGAAGAAAAAGATCGCTCTTTTTGCCCAATGCCGCAGGCAGTCAGACCTTATGGTTGTCTTCCCTTGTTCCATAAAAATCGCTATAATTCTGTTCTTTTTCAAGGTTCACTGATTTCATATTGCCCGAACACACATGTTTTACAATCAATTTGTACAGTTAACACAATTATCACAGTGGGCCTGAGGTGATGTATATCTTCAGCTTCCAAAGATAACAGGATTAAGAGATTAAAGTAAAGACAGGCATAAGAAATTATAAAAGTATTATTTGAGAACTGATAAATGTCCATATGAAGATGAAATCTTCACAATTTATGTTCCTCTGCCACAGCTCCAGCCAGTCCCCTCTGTTCGGGGTCCCTGACTTCCCATAAGAGGCCTTTGAATGTACTTTGAAACTCTTTGTTTCTCTGCCTTTCCCACCAGCCACTCTCTGGCACCCTGCACACTTATCTAACTATATGCTTGCTTAGAAATTCCAGGGGCTAAATTTGAAACAAATCAGGCACAGAGCCCCCATTATGGAATCCTCCCACTTAGGGGGAGTCATGAACAATTAGTCCACTACCACTGGGCCAAAGTCAGGATAATGCCAACCAGACCTCTGGACACTCAAAATAGCTATTAAAACAAGACATGCAGACCTGCACCCTGTACAAACTTCATATTTCCCATACAAATTTTTCTTTGTTAAACCTCACAATCAGCCCCAGAATTTGAGATGGTTTCTCTGTGACTTGAGTCTGGCCATTGTTCCAACTTTTGGCATTGGAAATAAAAATTCCTTTCCTTTCACCAGACTTTGCCTCTAGTGTATTCAACTTGACAGGCAGTGAGCAGCCACACCTAACTTCCCATGTAGAATTGCTGTGCCACTCAGTGCTGGAGGAATGATGCAGTACAGAGAAGAGCAAACTACTCATAGAAGGAACTGGCAATGATGACAGTAAAAAGACATCTCCCCAAGTGGCTTGCATATAGCTGACCTTGAAGAGGCAGCTAAGTATGTGTGAACCCTCTTGAGGATCTGCTACTTATAACTGGAGAGGCTTGAATGGAGGTGACATAAAATAGGAAAGATGAGGAAAATAGCAAACACAGCCTAGGCAGTGGTATCCCTAGCCATAGTATAAAAAATAATGTGACCTAGTTTATGTAAATGAGACATGGAGCCAAGAATAAGATGGGAATCACATCAAATATAGAACAAGTAATAAATCTGAAAAAGAAGGATTAGTGATATCCTCAAACTCTAATGAAATATACTTGCCTGTTTTTAATCAGTCAGTGGTTATGAAAAGTATTGGTTGTGTCGATGAGTTCAAAGAAAATATAGACAAGCCTTTTTTTTTTTTTTGACAGCAACTGGCTCTGCTGCCCAGGCTGGAATGCAGTGGCATAATTACTGCTCACTGCAACCTCCACCTCTTGGGCTCAAGTGATCCTCCCACCTTAGCCTCCCGAGTAGCAAAGACTCCAGGTGCATGCCACTACACCTGGCTAACTTTTGCATTTTTAGTAGAGACAGGATTTTGCCATGTTGCCGAGGCTGGTCTCAAACTCCTGAGCTCAAGCAATCCTTCCACTTCAGCCTCCCAAAGTGCTGGGATTACAGGCATGAGCCACTGTGCCCAGCCACCAAGTAGGAATTCTGATATAGGACTTTTGGTAGGTGTATTAGTACATTTTCATGCCACTTACAAAGACATACCTGAGGCTGGACAATTTACAAAAGAAAGAGGTTTAATGGACTCACAGTTCCATGTGGGTGGGGAGGCCTCACAATCATGGTGGAAGGGGAAGGCACCTTTGTGCAGGGAAACTTCCCTTTATAAAGCCATCAGATCTCCTGAGACTTATTTACTATCAGGATGATAGCACAGGAAAGACCCTCCCCCATGATTCAGTTAGCTCCCAACCAGTCCCTCCCACATATGGGAATTGTAGGAGCTACAGTTCAAGTTGATATTTGGGTGGGGACACAGCCAAACCTTATCATCTCACCCTTGGCCCTCCCAAATCTCATCCTCACATTTTGAAAGCAATCATGCCTTCCCAACAGTTCCCCAAAATCTTAACTCATTTCAGCATTAACCCAAAAGCCCACAGTCCAAAGTCTCATCTGAGACAAAGAAGTCCCTTCTGCCTATGAGCCAGTAAAATCAAAAGCAAGTTAGTTACTTCCTAAATACAATGGGGGTACAGGCACTGGATAAATACACCCATTCTAAATGGGAGAAATTGTCCAAAACAAAGGGGCTAAAGGCCCCATGCAAGTCCGAAATCAAGCAGGGCAGTCACATCTTAAACCTCCAAAATGATCTCCTTTGACTCCATGTCTCACATACAGGCCATACTGATGCGAGAGGTGGGTTCCCATGGTCTTGGGCAGCTCCAGCCCTGTGGCTTTGGAGGGTACAGCCTCCCTCCCAGCTGATTTCACAGGCTGGCATTGAGTGTCTGCAGCTTTTCCAGGTGCATGGTTCCAGTTGTCAGTGTATCTACCATTCCAGCATCTGTAGGACAGTGACCCTCTTCTCACAGCTCCACTAGGCAGCACCCCAGTGGGGACTTGGTGAGGGGGTGCCCACCCCACATTTCCCTTCTGTACTGCCTTAACAGAGGTTTTCCATGAGTGCCCTGACCCTGAAGCAAACTTCTGCCTAGACATTTTCGATATATCCCCTGAAATCTAGATGGAGGTTTCTAAACCTTACTTCTTGACTTCTGTGGACCCACAGGCTTGACACCACATGAAAGCTCCCATGGCCTGGGGATTGCATGCTCTGAAGCCATGGCCTGAGCTGTACCTTGGCTCCTTTTAGTCATGGCTGGAATGGCTGGGAAGCAGTGCACCAAGTCCCTAGGCTGAACACAGCAGAGGGACCCTGGGCCTGGTCCAGGAAACCATTTATTCCTCTGAAGCCTCCAGGACTCTGATGAGAGGCACTGCTGCAAAGGTCTCTGACATATCCTGGAGATATTTTACCCATTGTCTTGGTGATTAACATTCAGGTACTCCTTACTTATGCAAATTTCTGAAGCCAGCTTGAAATTCTCATCAGAAAATGGGATTTTCTTTTCTTTTTCTTTTTTTATTATACTTTAAGTTTGAGGGTACATGTGCACAACGTGCACGTTAGTTACATATGTATACATGTGCCATGTTGGTGTGCTGCACCCATTAACTTGTCATATTGTCAGGCTGCAAATTTTCCAAACTTTTATGCTGTTTCCCTTTTAAAACTGAATGCCTTGAACAGCAACTAAGTCACCTTTTAAATGCTTTGCTGCTTAGACATTTCTTCCACCAGATATCCTAAATCATCTCTCTCAAGTTCAAAGTTCCACAGATCTCTAGGGCAGAGGTAAAATGCTTCCAGTTTCTTTGCTGAAACATAACAAGAGTCAACTTTGCTTCAGTTCCTGATAAGTTCCTCATCTTCATCTGAGACCACCTCAGCTTGGATTTCGTTGTCAATTTCATTATCAGCATTTTGGTCAAAACTGCTCAACAAGTCTCTAGGGAGTTCCAAACTTTCCCACATTTTCCTGTTTTCTTCTGAGCCCTCCAAACTATTCCAACCTCTGCCTGTTACCCAGTTCCAAAGTTTCTTCCACATTCTTGGATATCTTTTCAGCAGTGCCCCACTCTACTGGTACTAATTTACTGTATTAGTCCATTTTCACACTGCTGATAAAGACATAACTGAGCCTGGGCCATTTACAAAACAATGACGTTTAATGAACTCACAGTTTCACATGACTGGGGAGGTCTCACAATCATGGTAGAAGGTGAAAGCCATATTTCACATGGAGTCAACAAGAGAATAGAGCTTGTTCAGGGATACTCACCTTTATAAAACAATCAGATTGCATGCAACTTATTCACTCTCAGGAGAACAGCAAGAAAAATCTTGATTCAGTTACCTCCCACTGGGTCCCTGAGCTACAGTTCAAGATGAGATTTGGGTGGGGACACAGTCAAACCATATTAGTAGGATATTCTCAGACATGTTCCTCCTGGGAAAGTGTTGTGTGCTGAATTTTGTCCCCTAAAAGTTATGCTAAATTACTAACACCTAGTAGTTCAAAATATAATTTTGTTTGAAAATAAGGTCACTACACATGTAATTAGTTAAAATTAGACCATATAACAGTCGGGTGGGTCCTACTCCGTACTGGATTAAGGAATCCAATATGACTGGTACCCTTTTAAGAAGAGTGAAAGAGACACAGAAACAGAGACCGAAGGAGAAGGTGGCCATTAATGAGACATAGACATTGGAGTGGAGCCTCTTCAAACTAAGATTTTCAGGGAGTGCTGACAACACCAAAATCTAAGGGAAAGACATGGAACAGATTCTCCCCCAGACTTTTCAGAGAGAGCATGATGCTGCCAACACCTTGTTTTTGGATTTCTAGACTCCAGGGCGGTGAGAGAATACATTTCTGTCATTTTAAGCTCTTCTAGATAGTGAAACTGTGTTACAACACTTTTAGGAACAAGCATGGATGATAATGCATGCTGCAAACAAGATATAAAGCAATTAAGAGATGAGAAATTAGATGAGAAGCACCAAGAAGAAAACCGACTGGAAAACTGATCACAAACTCTTATCAAGTGAGATGAATTGTACACCTCCAGGCCAATCATAGCAGCACACAGTGCATTTCACTCTGTGGGCTGCTGAACACAAAGAAATTTGTTAAGTCATCAGTCATTCTCAAATGTACAGTTATGGAAGCAAAAGACAACGTGCTATTTACTCAAAAAATGCTCTTTAAATTGAACAATGGAGGAGTTACATAACAGCTTTTGTGTTCCTGCTTCCCACTCTTCTGCTTAATTTCTCTTTCTTATAACACTATAATATTACAAGCCTATTGACACTATTGATAATGGCGATAAGACTCAAGGAAAAATACACAACTATAAAATAGAAAGAAAAAAGAAAATTAAAAGTACTCATACAAAACATGCCCCAATAGAATTTATCTGTGTTTTACTGGTTTCTAAACCTATATGCAAGAGTCTGCTTACACAGTCTAAAACCAACTGGAAGAAAGGTGAAATATGCCATACACCACAGAAAGATTTGTTTTCCATCTGCAACAGTTGAGTGTTTGGATATCTGATAGCATCTATTACATCTTTATACTTTTGATTAAGCTAAATTTACATCACTGATAATTGGATCAAGTCCTGAAAAGTAAATTTATACCTGGAATTTTTAAATGTATAACAAGACTGCTTAAAGAACTGTATAAACACATATATCCACACACACACACACACACACCTATTTCTGTATGTAGAAATACGTTGCAATATACAGGCTGCTTCTCTTGACACAGGAATGTGGCTTTTATAGGACTGTTGGTGTATTTGCCTGTCATTTGGAAGTAGGTAGTTAATATTGATTTTCTATAAAAAATTCAGTCACATTGCTGGTCAAACAGATAAGGATAAAATCAACAGTAAGATAAAATAAGAACAACAACAAAAATACTTGAGATGCATATCCAATGACAAGTTTTTCTTTTCTTTTCTCTTTCTTTTTGTTGGTTTAATATGATTAGATACAGGTAGTATGTTCTCATAGTTTAAATAAATGAAAACCCTTATCTTATTCTAAGGAATAGCTACCACTAAACTACCAGGATGTTGTCTTTAAGAGGTAGATATATAGATAGATTCAGATTTTTTCCCCATATGGTATAGAAACATAAAAAAGGAAAAAAGTTTACCTTCCTCTACCTAAAATCCAATTCCACTTTCCAGAGGTAATTATGGTAAGCAATTTTTTGTTCTGTAGGTACTTCCATAACTGTAGATAATATATTTATACTTTTATTCATTTATATCTTTATTTTTTATGTATTGACTTATTTAAGAGAAAGAGAATTTAGCTTAAACTGCTCCATCTCTCTTTTCTGTTTTAGTCTATGCCAAATAACCACATAATTTTCTCTTTCTTTTAATTTTTTATCAAACACTTTAATAATTTTAACAGAGAAACATTTATTCTTGCTTACTCACTTTCTTCTACCTCTCTCTCACCATACTCTATCATCCAAACTTCAGCTTTTATAATGTGTCAAATTTTAGAGCATTGACACTGTAAAATAAAATATAAAAAATAGTTTATGACTTGTCTACAATTTTATTTCAAAAATTAAAATTTAGTTTCTAGTATACATTTTATTATGCAATATTATTTAAGACATAATGCTGTAGGATAATTGGATTCATACAGGAAGCAATATAATCTGATGTGATTAAATGTATGCAACATGATGACAAATATAGATAGAAAAATTTGGAAAAGCATAAAAGTATACATATAGATATGCTTATTAATTCCAAGAATACCTAAATACTTCATATATATGTAGATATTTCATAGATATGCATATATATGTATATGTATGTGTTTCTGTGTATTTAGCTTTATTCCACCTTAGCTGCATTTCACAATTCTTGATATGCTTTGTTTTCCTTTTAATTCAGATAAAACAATTTCTAATTTCTCTTTTAATTTCTTTTTTATCTATGAGTCCTCTGGAAGTATATTGTTTTTAAATATTTGGAATTTTTCACATTTCTGGTGAGGGCTTTGGGTTAGGCAATATCAGCTTGGTCTCCAGAGGGGCTGGAAACTAAAGTCAGCTGTGCCAGTGGCCAATAATGTCTACATGACTGAGTGCCAATAAAAACTCTGGACACCAAAGCACAGGTGAACTTCCTTGGTTGGCAATACTTTGTGTATATAGTCACACATCATTGCTGGGGAAAGTGAGTTCTATTCATGACTACACTGGGAGAATATAATTGGAAGCATCACACTTGGCATTTTTCTGGGCTCAGGCTCATGTATCTCTTCCTATGGTTGATTTCTATAATATAATCCATAATATCTATCTATATAGTTTATTATCTGTCAGTAATACACTTTACTAAAGAGTGTGATAGCTTTCAGTGAATTTTTTAGCTTTTCAAATGAATTATAGAACCTGAGGGTGGTCGTGTGAACATTTGAACTTTCAACTGGTCTCATAAGAAGATGGTCTTGAACATCTCTAAACTTGCATTTGTTGTCAGAAGTGAGGGCATAGCCTTGTGTACTACTTGCACACTTCATAGATGGCCAACTCTGACACTTCTCTGATGGATAAATGGGGTCATTTCCTTGCTACTGCCAGGTAGGGCTGGAGATCCAGGTTCTCCGGTTGGCATCCATGATTAATACCCTAACTAGGACGAGAGAGGGAGCCTTTTTTACTACTGATGAAGGTGGAATTTTAGGCTCTCCACTAAAACTCTGCTGATACCACCCCAGCAAAGAAAGGGAGGAGTGCCTAAGTACCACTGAGTGGGAGTTGAAGTCAGGCTCCTCTTGTGGTCTCCACTGATATCATGGGGTTTGGGAGCTTTGTCACTACCCAACAGCGTTGAGCATTCTAGCTTCTCACTCATTCTTCTCCAACAACACACTGGTGGTGGCTTTGGGATGCTTCACTAATGCCTGGGAAGGGTGGAATCTGTGCTCTCCACTTGGCCTTTATTGGTGGGTTTTGGGTTACAGCCACATTTTATTTTATTCTGTGGATAAGAGTGGTTTTCATCTAAAGATTTGTGACAGTCTAGCCTGCCTCTTTTCTGATCCCTTGGCTAAGAAAAGCTGACTTTTCTTGCCTTCTCCATCTTTTTAATTTGTCTGTGCCCACTGGTGTTTCTGGGTGGCCAGCTTCTTTGATTTTCAGTCTAGGATATAGAAGGAAAAAAGAAAATCCAGGGAGCCAAAGAGCTCACTACCATGTTATCCCCCAAGTTATGAGCTGCCCTGACTTCTCTTCACTTTTGCCAGTTTTCTTATGTTTTTTTTTAAATTTATAATGATAAGGGTTTCTAGCTTTACTTAGTGGAAAGAATAAGTATGTCTATTCCATCTTTCTGAAAGTGCATTACTTTATAACTGAGAGTTCTATGATTTACTCTATGCATCTTTAACTTATCACAATCTAATTTCAGTTAATATTCTACCACTTTGTGTATAATGATAGACAGAATTTTGAAACAGTTATTTTATCTTCTTCCTTCCACCTTTTGTCTTTTTATGTCATAAATGTTATTTCTATGGGTGTATTAAACACCTAATTACATTGGTACTGCTTTCACTTTTTTTTCTTTTTCTTTTTTTCTTTTATTTTTTGAGACAGGCGCTCTCTCTCTCTCTCTCTCTCTCTCTCTCTCTCTCTCTCTCTCTCTGTCACCGAGGTTAGAGTGCACTGGCACGATATGGCTTACTGTGGCCTTTACTTCCTGGGCTCAAGCAATCCTCCCACTTCAGCCTCCAAAGTAGCTAGTTCAACAGGTGCACACCACCACCACACTTGGCTGATTTTTAAATTTTTTTGTATGGATGGGACCTCACCATGTTGCCCAGGCTGCTCTCAGATGCCTGAACTCAAACAATTTTCCCACGTCAGCCTCCCAAAGGGCTGAGATTGCAGGCATGAGCCACTGTTCCTGGCCTGCTTTCACTTTGAACAATTAACTTTTAAATAAATTTATAAAAGTAAAAAGGTCTTTAATATTTATCTACATATTTACTATTTCTGACCTTATTTATTCTTTTCTACTCAGTATAGTTTTCTTATGCCTGAAAATTTGCCTTAATATTTATGAAAGTATAGGTCTGCTAGTGATACACTCTCTCAACTTTTGTTTTTCTAGAGGCTTATTTATCTCAATTTCTTTTTGAAGACTATTTTCACTGGGTAAATGTTTTGTTTTAATGCCTCTAGCTTATATTTGTTTTATGATAAGTCTGTTTTCAGTGTTACCTTTGTTCCTTTGAATCTGCTATATCTTTCTTTTTTTCTATTAGCTTTGATAATTTTTTATATTGCTATGTTTCAACAATTTAATTCTGTGTTTTTTGTGGAGGTGGTTTTATTTATATGTATTCTTCTTTGGGTTTCTTGGTTTTGTTTATATTTATTTTGCTTTATAGGTTTTTAAATTCATATTTGGAACAAGCTAGGCTATCATTTCTTCCAATCTTTTTCTGTCACCTTATGTTAGATGACAAGATATTGTCTTACAATTTACTGATTTTGTTAATATTTATCATTTTTTTCTCTTTGGGCTTTATTTTTGATAAGTTCTAATGCCATTTAAGAGCTCACTGATACGTTTTTGCTGATGTCTAATCTACTTTTTATTATATTCATTGAATTTTTTACTTCAGATATTGTATTTTTCAGCTATACAAGTTTCATTTTTTTGTCTCATTTGTACCTTCCATGTCTATGCTATTTTCTTTATGTATTTATTTAAATCCTTGGGCATATGTATAAGAGCTTTATGAAGTGATTGTCTACTATTTCCATCTTGTCTCTCATTTATGGTTCTTTAATTTTCTATTAACTATTTTTTCTTTCTAATTATGTATCCTTTTGTATCACTTTTTCACAAATCTGGTAAATTTTCATTCTATACAGCATGTTTTAAATGTTTGGACTCCTTTTTCTTCTTTTAAAAGAAGTTTTTGACAGCTAGAATTTAGTGACTAGTGGATCATGTTGATTCTTTCAAGCCTTGTTTTTTTTTCTTTCCAACTTTTATTTTAGGTTCAGGGGTTACAAGTTCAGGTTTGCTACATGGGTAAATTACATGTTGCAGAGATTTGGTGTATAGATTATTTTGTCACCCAGATAATGAGTATAGTTCTGGGTAGGTGGTTTTTCTATCCTCATCTTCCTCCCATCCTCCACCCTCAGTAGGCCCTGCTGTCTATTGTTGCCTTCTTTGTATCCACGTGTACTCAATGTTTGGCTCCCACTTACAAGTGAGAACATGTGGTATGTAGTTTTCTGTTCCTGCATTAATTCGCTTAAGATAATGGCCTCCACTCTATCCATGTTGCTGCAAAGGACACAAATTTTTTTCTTAATGGCTGTGAATTCCATGTTGTATATAACACATTTTCTTTGTCCAGTCCACCATTGATGGGCATCTAGGTTGATTTCATGTCTTTCCTATTAGGAATAGTACAGTGATGAACATAAACATGTGTATGTCTTTGTAGTAGAACAATTTATATTTCTTTGGGCTTATACTCAGTAATGGGATTGCAGATTCGAATGGTAGTTGTATTTTAAGTTCTCTGAGAAATCTTGAAAAATCTGCTTTCCACAGAGGCTGAACTAATTTACATTTCCACCAGCAGTGTATAAATGTTTCCTTTTCTCCACAACCTTGCCAGCATGTGTTATTTTTTTACTTTTATATTATTACTATTATTATTTTTGAGACAGAGTCTCATTCTGTCACCCAGGCTGGAGTGCAGTGGCAGGATCTCTGTTCACAACAACCTCCACCTCCCAGGTTCAAGCGATTCTTGTGCCTCAGCCTCCCAAGTAGCTGTGATTACAGGCATGCATACCACACCCAGCTAATTTTTGTATTTTTAGTAGAGATAGGGTTTCACCATGTTAGCCAGGCTGGTCTTGAACTCCTGACCTCAAGTTATTCACCTGTCTCAGTCTCCCAACATGCTGGGACTACAGGCGTGAGCCACCGTGCCTGTCCTATTTTTTTTTTTTTAATAACAGCCATTCTGATTGGTGTGAGATGGTATCTCATGGTGGTTTTGATTTGCATTTCACTAATGATTAGTGATGTTGAGCAATGTTTCATATGCTTCTTGGCCAATGTATGGCTTATCTTGAGAAGTGTCTGTTCATGTCCATTGCTCATTTATTTTTTTAATGGAGTTGTGTTTTTTTTCTTTTTTTAAGTTTCTTATAGATTCTGGATATTACATTGAAGTTTTTTTTTTTCTTTTTTTTTTTTTTACATTTCTTATAGATTCTGGATATTAGAACTTTGTCACATGCATAGTTTGCAAAAATTTTATCCCATTGTGTAGTTTGTCTGTTTACTCTGTTGTTTCTGTTGCTGTGCAGAAGTTCTAGTTTAATTAGAACCCACTTGTCAAGTTTTGTTTTTGTTACAACGGCTTTTGGAGTCTTCATTATGAAATCTTTGCTGGAGTCGATGTCCAGAATGCTATTTCCTAGGTTTACTTCTAGAGTTTTTACTATTTCCCCCCATAATCTCTTACATCTGACTGAATCTAGGCTTTTGTAGTTTCAGGTTTTGCTTTTAAGTGCTTAATTTATCTTGAGTTGATTTTTGTATATGGTGAAAGAAAGCAGTGCAGTTTCAATCTTCTGCATATGGGTAGCCAGTTATCCTAGCACCATTTATTGAATAGGGAATCCTTTTCTTGCTTGTTATTGTTAGCTTTTTAGAAGATTAGGTGGTTGCAGGTGTGCGGCTTTGCTTCTGGGTTTTCTAACCTGTTCCATTGGTCTATGTGTCTATCTATAGCCTTGTAGTATTGTTTGAAATCAGGTAGGGTGATGCCTCTGGCTTTATTCTTTTTGCTAAGGATTGCTTTCATTATTTGGACTCTTTTTGGTTCCAAGTGAATTTTAGAATAGTTTTTTCTAATTCTGTGAAAAATGTCATTGGTAGTTTGATAGTAATAGCGTTGAATCTGTAGATTGCTTTGGGCAGTATATTCATTTTACACAGCATTGGTTCTTCCTATCCATGAGCACAGAGTATTTTTTCTATTTGTATTGTCTCTGATTTCTTTCAGCAGTGTTTTTAAATTCTCCTTGTAGAGATCTTTCACTTCCTGCATTAGCTGTATTCTTAGATATCTTATTGGTTTTGTGTCTACTGTGAATGTGATTGTGTTATTGATTTGGTTCTCAGCCTGAATGTTATTGGTGTATAGAAATGCTACTGATTTTTGTACATTGATTTTGTATCCTAAAACTTTACTGAATGGGTTTATCAGATCTAGGAGCCTTTGTGCAGAGACTATGGGTTTTTCTAGGTAGAGAATTTTCTCATCTACAAGGAAAGATAGTTTGACTTCCTCTCTTCCTATTTGGATGTCAAGTCTTATTTTTTTTAAGCATGTTAGGACAGGTCCAGTGTCATTTTTACTTTGACAAATTTAACCATACTGCAAGTGCTTCACACTTTTGGAATGTCTACAAACCATCTTAGTATTTAGGTCTTAGTTCTGAGCACACTTTTTGTCAAATTTCAGAGGTCTTTTAGATCATTGTGGGATTTGTCCATATTACGGCTCCTGGCTGTTCTTGGCCTTGTCCTGCAGAGTTTCTCCCCGTGAAACATAGGTGACTATTCAGATAAACATTCAATAACATTCCTTTGCTGATTTATGGAGTTCTTTCTCTATGTATCAATTTTTGTCTCCTACTCCTTTCTTTAAGCTCTAGATATCTTGTCCATCCTGAACTTTGTTCAATATCTCCTCAACTCAATGAGCCCACCATACTGTGTTTGGACAACCTCTCCATGCCTTGGTCAATAAATTGTCTCCAGACAAAAAGCTCTAATAAACTTAAGTTGCCTTTGTTTTTCTTCTTGCAAAGGTCACAGTTCTGTTCTGCCTGATGTCCAAAAGTATAAAGCATGTCATTTATTTTATTCAGTTTCTCATTATTTATGGCAAGAGGGCAACTCTCCATCAGTTATTTGTTCCCAGAAGTAGAACTGTATAAGCCACATATTTTCATAAAATATGACTAATCTTTTAAAATTTCTTTCTTGAATTATTGTTTCCTTATCATCTCCAAATTTATAGATGTTTTTTAATGCACAATCGTTCTTTTTTTAAATCCTTAACTTTTTTTGTTTTGTTTTTACTTTCAAAACTCTGATTTGTCTTTAAAAACAATAGCATACTTAATATAAGTGGCTATTAGAGCTTATTGCTTGTTCAGACCTATTTCTTCAGTGGACTTTTTAAGTGTGATGGCTGCACTTCCCTGATGTTATATAAGCAGAAATTTGGAAATAAGACTACTTTTAAATGACATTCACACTATAACTAAAAAGAGCATTTTTCTGCAACAAGATTCACATCAGCAGCTCTAGTTTTTCCAAAGCAGATTTTTTCTTTCTTTCTTCCTTTTTTTTCCCCCCGTTTCTTTAGGGAACAGTACTTACATTTTGGCCTGAGGAAAAACACTCTGCTGACTCAAAATTGAGAAGAGATAGGAGGGTAATTTAAGAAGCTATCCTGTTAGAAAAAAAAATCAATTCTTCCTCTTGATTTCTACACAACCACCATTCCTATTCTGTAATCTTGATAGCTTTGAGTTTAGAGACTCCCATTTTTTATCACTAAAATGAATGGCTCCCAAGTCCAATAAAAAGCTCTCTTTTGTTGTAGGCTAAAATTCCTCCATGTTATCTATGTATTCTAGGAAAATTTTAGAATCTTTGGTCTATTGAAGTTTCCCTTCTCATTCTTAATATTGCTATAGATTTATTAATTTATTGTATTTTATGTCTCTTCATTTTCATTTTATGAGGATTTAGCAGGGATAGAAGTAAAACATATATTCTCAATCTTCTCTCTGGTATAGTTGCCTGAGGATTTTTTTAATGATATATTTTGCATTTTAAAACTTCTTTGCTTTCTCTTCTACACGATGTGAATAAAACACATGTCTTTCTTGCAGCATTGTTTGAGAATAAATCTAAACCCATGATGTATATATCATGTCTTCCAGTGTGTATACATACTGGAAAGTATTTGGTGTTTGTAGACAATTGAGTTAAATATTTGGATATAATGTTTCCATTAAGCACAAATTTTAGAAGAGGAAGAGAAAAAGAAACAAATTTAAAAAAACATGATCTATTTATGAGTTTTGTATAGTTTAACATTCATTGTCATGTGCTTTGTCTTTCGTTGCTATGTATCAAATTTTTTAGGCTCGGGCTAATTTAGTTTGGATGGTGTCTTGTGCAACCTCACACAGGTAATGATGGACTGCTTTAATGGAGATTCTGGGAAGGCTCCACTCCTTTCTGCTTCTTAATGTTCTCATGAACGTGATTAAATAATTTTTGGCAATATTGTCATATAGACCTGACAAAGATACCTCTCCCTAGAAATTTGAGAATTGGGGAGTTTCTGTCTATTTAAAAGTTCCTCTCTATTTAAAAGATAGCTTAGTCTCTAAGAAAAATAATTCACTCTTTAAATCAGTCACTCTTTCACTTGAGTAGGTAAGGAAAACTTTCCAGCCTCTACTTGTATTTCCTTCCAGTTAGTCATGATTTCCAGATATCAAAAAGCACTAAATAGATTTTACCAGCTCTGTAATTTCACAGGCCATTATATAACACTAAAAAAACCTCACTACTAGTGAAATAAGTTGCTTAACTAACTTTTAAAATATAACTCAACTCCAGAATCTAATTTCATGTAGAATGTTTCAAAACTCACTGAATTCTTAACCCAGAATTTATGTTGGAAGTGATAATTTCTGATAACCTGTGAACTCATTATTTTCAAGCATGTATGCCTTTGCTGTGTTGTAATTAATTGCCAGAAATAATGTTATTTCTATATCATCCTTAAGATTCTTGCTCATTATCATGTGTTTCAAAATTGGCAACTCCCCCCCCATATGGTTTTTGAACATTTTCAAGCTTAGACAGTTATAAATGGTAATTATTAATAAGCTTCCATCCTGCAAGCTTCATGTTTTCTCCCCTCAAATATGCATTATATGTATACATACATATAAATAAAACATGTTTACATGTATAAATAAATATAAGAAATAATATGTACATATCCTTTTTTTTTTTTTTTTTAGACAAGGTCTCACTCTGTCACCCAGGCTGTAGTGCAGTGGAGTGATCACAACTCACTGCAGCCTCAACTTCCTGGACTCAAATAATCCTCCCAGTAGCTAAGACTACAGGCACACACCACCATGCTCTACTATTTTTAGATATATGTTATCTTTTACAGAGTAGTTTATATTCTCTTTGTCTAAAAAAATTAATTAAAAGTTACTATCCAAAGGGAATGTGAGCTTGATAGTACTCTCCTCACCCAGTGTAGTAGTATTTATCAATATTTTCCCCTATGCTATGCTGAGAAATATATAGTCCCTTGTTACTCAGCACATGTCTATATGTACACATGTACAAATAAAAATTAAAACATGTTTCATAAAATTACTTTATTATATATACTGCATCTTATATCTATTTTTTAAAATAATATTTGTGGACCACTATGTTGATTTCATTACCTATAATCTAGCATCTCCAGATCCTTTGTA
The DNA here is from genome assembly GCF_000001405.40 of Homo sapiens. Lineage (NCBI taxonomy): Eukaryota > Metazoa > Chordata > Mammalia > Primates > Hominidae > Homo > Homo sapiens. Next base: position 37,316,634 of record NC_000011.10, read on the forward strand.
ATTATGAGGCATCTGTCATTGTATCAGGAAAGGGCTAGAAAGTTCTCATCCCTTATTTTGGTTTGTTCAGTTTAGAGTACGAACCTAGGACATGGTCTTGTTCAGTTGGATACTTCCAAGAGGTACATTGGCCTATTATAGTTTTCACTGAAATATAGTAGCTTTATAGAAGTGAATAAAGAGCTTCATTATTTATTATTTAGGAATACTTATGCAAATAATACCAAAGTTAAGAAATGGTGTCATATGGTGACATTTCCAAGGCCCTCTGATGGCCCTGAATAATCCATATATCCTCCATCCTTCATCCTCTCCAAAGGTAAGCACTGTCTTGATTTTACCATTTTCTTGCTACATTTTTATTTTTTACTACCAAAACATTTATCTCTAAGTTTTGTAATTAACTTTTGATTGTTTTAAAATTTTATATTACTAGAAAGCTGTTATATGTTCCACATGTTGTTTTACTCATCATTATATTTATAATGTCCACTCTGATGCTGCATTTAGTTACATTTCATTCATTGTTCTTGCTATATTGTATTCTGTTGTGTGACTATACCAACAATTTATTTTTTAAATGTTGATTAAAAGACATATTTCTCTAGTCTTGGATTATTATAATTAATGGTGTTATGAACATTATTCTATGTGACTCTTGGTGTGTGTGGACACCTTTCTAAAATAAATATATTTAGAAGTGTAATTGATCATAATGTTTGCTTATGTTCTACAGTAGTAGAAAACCACTGTGATCCAAGGCAGTCATTTCAACTTACACCCCCATCATAAGTGTATGAAAGTTCCAGCTGCCTTGCATTATCACTAATACTATGTATTATCAGTTTCTATTTTTAGGCAAATTATTCAATCATGGTGTCTATAAATCTCCTTTTGGATTTAATTTTCTTTCACTGATCACTAATGAAGTTGAGCATATTTTCCTTTGTTTTTACATCATTTGGAATTTCTCCTTTTTCAGATTCCTTTTTAATTATTTTGGCCTTTTTAATTGGGGCTTCTGTCTTTTTGCAATTGATTTGTATGAATATATTCTTTGGATATAAATTATTTTGTTATATGTGTTCCAATACCTTGTCTCACTCTATAGATTGATTTTTAATTATTAACAGTAAAATAAATTTTAAAGCAAGTTTGTTTTTTACCTTTATGTTTAATTTTTTTTTGTTCTTTTAATAACATTATGCCTATCTTTTATCACAACCTTCTCCATCCTATCTAGAGGTTATCACTGGCTGTTGTGGCAATGATACCCCTGTTTTTCTTTATATTTTTACAATCTATTTATGCATAACTACATGTTTTTAAAGTTTATTTACTTGCCTTATTATATAAATGATGTCATACTTTATATAATCTTTTATGCATTGCTTCTTTTGATTAATATCTTTATATAGTTCTTGGTATTTTCATTGATCAGGAGTATTTCTATGCATATATAAAACCATTTTCCTTACTTTTTCTTAGAGATGTATGAGTCTGTTTCTGGGGTTTCTAATTTGTTTTATTATCCCATCGTGAATCTTGCATCAATATCACACTAAAAATAAGTTAATAGTATGTATTTATATCTGCTACTACATATTCTCTAAGTCTGTACTTCTACTTCAGTATTAACTTGGGTGTTCATATGCCTTTGAATTTCCAAATAGTTTTGGAATAACCTTGATAATTTCCACACAAATATTGACTATATTTTGATTGGGATTATTTTGATTATATTAATCAACTTTTATAAAATTGGCATCCTTAGCACATTTAATAATTTACTCATGAATATTGTACATTTTTCCATTTATTTAGTTCTTTTGAAATTGCTTTTAACAATGCTTTCTTGCTTTGTGATGATTTTTGCTTATTTTTAATTAAGCTTATTTCTAGATATTTTATATTATTTGTGCTATTCTAAATGTATCATAAATCAGTTATGTTTTCTAAATTGTTTGTTACTAGTTTATAGAAACAAAATAGACATTTGTTTATTTACCTTATATTCAGTAACCTTGCTAAATTTATTTGTCCTTTCCATTAGGTTTTCTCTAAATATTTTGCTCTATTTTCTATATACAAAGTCATGTAATCTATAACTGGAGGAGGCTGTAGGTGTTCTTTTCCAATATTTATTTTGTTGTTTCTCCTATTTTTTGTGTTACTGATGTAGCTAAGATTAATGTTACAGTGTCGCTCACAAAAATTCTTGTCTGACAGACACTGATCTCTGGAAGAATATAATATTTTACCATTAAGAGTGATGTCTGCTGTAGTACTTTGTAAATATCTTTATCAGGTCATATTTGAGAACCTTACTTTTATCCCTGGATATAATCCATTGACAGAAAGTAGATCCCTGATTTTTTTTAAAAAAAAGATAAAGTTATGAACTTTATCTTTTAACTACAGTAAGCCAATTTTTATTTTATATTATTGCTGACATGTTTATATCTGACATACTATTTTGTAACTTTTTTGTCCTACCTACTCTGTTCATTTTTTAATGTCTAGCTTTCTTTCTAATTCACATTTTTACTCATCCCATTTTCTTTTTTTTATTTTTTTATTTTTTTATTTTTTATTTTTATTTTTTTAAATTTATTTATTTATTATTATTGTACTTTAAGTTTTAGGGTACATGTGCACAATGTGCAGGTTAGTTACATATGTATACATGTGTCATGCTGGTGCGCTGCACCCACTAACTCCTCATCTAGCATTAGGTATATCTCCCAATGCTATCCCTCCCCCCTCCCCCCACCCCACAACAGTCCCCAGAGTGTGATGTTCCCCTTCCTGTGTCCATGTGTTCTCATTGTTCAATTCCCACCTATGAGTGAGAATATGCAGTGTTTGGTTTTTTGTTCTTGCGATAGTTTACTGAGAATGATGATTTCCAATTTCATCCATGTCCCTACCATTTTCATACTTTTAGTGGTTATATTAGAAATCCCAGCAGCAGACTTGAAGCCTTCTGTAGCCCTGGAAAGTGACCTGCATCGGATTCTGTGGCCCTTCTTTCCTGTGACTGACAGTCCTACTATAGCTCCTGGCTTCAAACATTGAGTTTACATCTGGCTCACTATCTCACTTGGAATCCTTAGTTTCTATTACCCCATAAACCTGAACTCCCAGGTACCTCTGCCTGATTTTGAACACAGAGACCAGTATGTATGTGGCTTAAGCCTTGCTCACACTTGGAGTTTCTTCTGCATGTTGATCCATGCAAATATTTATCATGTTTTTCCCCATATGGGCCTTTAACATAAATTTTACACTTTATAATTTATCTATCTCTGTTTAGAGAAGCAGTGTGTCTCATAACTTATAATTGCAATTTTTACCTAGCTGGAATTTCTAACTTAGTTTCTACTGTCTGAATTTGTATAGCCCTAATCCAGACTAGAGAGAATGGTGGCTTAGACTATAATGGTGGCAGGAGGGAGAAGTTTATCCATTTGAGATATGTACATTTTATATCAAATTTTATAATAGTCTGTGAACAAATATGGGTGGCAGGGTACCCAGGAGTTAAAAAAAATCTTTCAGTCTTGGTTTGAGCATTTGGATAGATTTAGCATAATTTATTGAAGTAGGAGAAACTTTAATTTTTAGGAGTTGCAATTTAAGAGTTTACTTCTGAACATGTTGAGATGAAATACTGGTGAAACACAAAAGTGGATATATCAAGCAGATTGTTGGATATATGAGGGGCTCAGTACAAAACCTAGGCTAAAGACCAAGTTGGGAGTTGCTAGCTTATAAATGGTATTGTAAGTCATTCTGCCTGGTTGATGCTTCTTTGCTCTAGTCTATTAGGTTGACTTTTTGCAGTCACATGTGTTTACTAATTCTGACCCTAGGAACTGAGCTTCCAACCTTCTGTGTACAGAACTACCTCTTCCATTTTATACGACTCTTGAGTTTTCACTTATTCAGTTATTTTTTAAACATTTAAATGACAAGCAAGAGTGGCTCGTAACTAAGTCCAGTGAACATTCATTGACTCATCATTAAGAGACGGCTATGGGACAGAACAGGGAGGTTAATCCAGGTAAAAGTTAGGCTGGAACTTTTGTTCTCATTTGTTAGGATTTTTTAAAAAGTACTTGAGTTATTGTACATGCTTTTTTTCTTTCAAATAGAAATTCAAAGTTCATATAAACTATTCTTTCAAAAATTTAAGGCTTTTTCAGATATCAGACTCATTTTAAATATAAAGATCCATATTCTCAAGAATTTATTTAATGACTTAGTTTGTGAAAATGAATAAAATGATAATTTATTGATAATAAGGAGAGCTCAAAGTAAGATACAGATATCTGTGTTGCTTCAATGGAAATATGTTCTAAGAAATGCATTATTAGGTGATTTCATCATTGTGTGAACAAACCTGTACAGCAGGTTACTGCACTGAACACTGCAGGCAATTGTAACACAATGGTAAGTATTATGTATCTAAATGTATTTACTCATATAAAATCTAGAGTAAAAACATGGTTTTAAAATTAAACAATACCCATATTGGCCACTTCCTGTGAATGGAGCTTGTGGAACTAGAATTTATTCTGGGTGAGTCAGTGAGTGAGGTTTAAGTGAATTTGAATGCCTAGGACATTGTTGTACTTGACTGTAGATTTTTAAAACACAGTAAACTTACCCTACAGTGAATTTATAAAAAATTTTTTATTCAGTAAATTAACTTTAGCTTACTGTAACTGTTACCTTATAAATGTTATTTTTAAACTTTGTAATAACACTTAGCTCAAAATGTATTGTATAGCTGTACAAAACCATTTTATTTATTTATATCCTTATTCTATAAGTTTTTTCTATTTTTGCTTTAATTTTTTTTTTTACTTTTTAAATTTTCTTGTTAAAAACTAAGACACAAGAACACACATTAGCATAGGCCTTCACAGGGTCAGGATGATCAATATCACTGTCTTCCACCTCCACATCTTGTTCCATTGGAAGGTCTTCAGGAGCAATAACACGCGTGATGCTGTCATCTCCTATAATAACAATACCTTATTCTACACTACCTCCTGGAGGACCTGTCTGAGGCTGTTTTATAGTTAACTTTTAAAATATAAGTAGAAGGAGTACACTATAAAATAACAATAAAAAGTGTAGTATGGTAAATATATAAACCAGTAACCAGTTATTATTATTATAGCTGGTTATAACAATAAAAAGTATAGTATGGTAAATATATAAACCAGTAACCAGTTATTATTATTATCAAATATTGTGCACTATATATAATTGCATATCATATACTTTTATACAACAGGCTTATTTACACCAGCGTCATCACAAACATGTGAGTAATATGTTGTGCTATGACATTATGTTGGCTCTGGCGTTACCAGGTGGTAGGAATTTTTCACCTCCATGAAAATCTCATGAGACCACAGTTGTATATGCATTCCACCATTATGTGGTTTATGACTGCATATATTCTGTACTTACTTATATTCAAGTTATCATTAGTAGTAACTGCCAACATTCATCTAATCAGATAGGAGTCCAGTTTTCAAACTAATATATAAGAAATAGAATATTGACATAGCCTTAGAAATAGAGCAATTTCAGAATGTATAACTTTGAATTTCATCATTCTAATGTAATCATATTCTCAGTGTATGAGACAAAATAATGTGGAACTTCATAGTTATGTGTAGGTATATTTGATACTTTCAGCTGCCTTCCCTAAAAGAAATAAAAAAGAGACAATGAAGAAACAGATAATGAAGGTTTCTACTAGAATAGAAACACTAATATCTGAGGAAAAAAAAGTACCTGGTTCCATATAGTTGAAAATAATGTCTTTTATTCTAAGTGTTAGACTACTTCTTAACAGTGCAGTGGTTCAAACCCCAGATTTCCCTGCTGTCTACATCATGAGTAATACCACATTTTGATAAATCAGTATCGATAAGTGAAAAATGAGGAGCCTTTCTGTTGTTTTAAAATACATAATAAAAGAGCCAAATCATCTTCACAGGAAACTATTAGGTTGATTTCCTGACCTGATTTTACATTTCTGATATGCAGAGCTGCTCCTTGGTTCACTGGTGCTATGCCTGAATCAGTCCTCCGCCGAGTCTTTGCTACCAAAAGTGAAAGTTGTCAAGGCAGTTTAGTAAGTGCCATTATAACGAACAAGCAGTCTCTGGACTCTGTGCTTTAAAAATCCAATAAACAGAGTTTGCACTATTTTAACTCTCTGTTAATTAAAGTAAGGACCATTTGATGGAAACGAGAGGTGGATTATGGAGGCAACTATAATTTTGTTTTCTTTTTCCCTCTCCCTTTCCTGCTCCAACCTATGTGAAGGGTAGATAGGCTATAATTGTAACAGGGATCTGGGCCACTTAATAAATGTTTAATTACATTCAGATCTGTTCACTAAGCTCGTGAGTTATTGTCAGCCAGTTAATAGAACATTAATTAAAAAGCATATTCATAGAGGTAAGGATCATTTTCACGTGACAAGTTTCTACCTGCTTTTAGAACCCTAATGGAGAGTCTTAGCGAATTAGCATCATTTCACAAAATACCAGACCTTTGTGTCATTTAATAAAATACATCTCATGACAGCAGCATAGAATGTAAAGGAACAGTTGTGTAGGGGTGGCATCCAGATTGATTGTGTGGCTGGAAGTTAAGAAAGAATGAAGTTATAGAAGAAAGTTTTAAAGCCCTGAGTGAGAGAAAAAATGTGTAAGTTCAAAACCGTTTTCTTGGATTTTTAATATAGTTTATGGAAAATGTGTCTATAAATACTACATGAGTTTTTGTATTTGCTGGAATTCCTCTTCCTTTACATCCTTTTCCCAGGGCATTCTAATTTTACATATTTGTGATATCAGAAATTCAACAAAATGCTGATATAAGATACTGATTTTTTAGGGTTATGATGTTGAAATAATCATGCATTTAAAATTATAAACATATTTTGCATTCCTACCAAGGGAAGGCCACTGTTCTAGGGCTTAAATTTTAATTTTAATCTTGTTCATAAAATCGTGCAGCTTTCTTGTTGCAGGAATAGAACAAGATCCTCTATCTCATGGTGATTTACACTCTTGATATTTTGGAAAATACACACATTATACAGGTGCACTGAATTAATAATTCCTTTAACAACTCTTAATTTTTAAGGAAAATTTGATATTATTAGCTAATCACTGCTCAAGATATCATATGTTTTTAATAATGATTAGTAGTCATTGTAATAATGAATGCTAAAATGTAGCTGTACTTATATCAGATATTTATTATGCTTTGTATGTATCAGGCAGTATCTTGGTGCTGTATAATCATTGCCTGATTTAGCTTTAAAAATGTCCCCATTTTAAAAATTAGGCAACTGAAGCAAAGAGCAGTTGCATAACTGGTCCAAGGTCACAGAGACAATGCATGTCCAAGCTTGGATTCAAATTTAGGCCTATCTTTCTTCCAAGCTAATGGTTTTAGCCACCACACTCCACTGCTTTAAAACAAACAAAAAAAATGAAAGAACATTATGAAGGAAACATTTTTTATAACTACAATTTAATCAGTAACTTTTGTTCTTTGTATTCCTAAAACAGGTCATTATGTGAAATGATGAAATGCATCGTCATAAAAAAGTGCAAGAACTTGAACCTGAGAAGAAAAATATAAAAGGAAAAATATTCTAGAGTCAGATGTGGAAATCACCATGTCAGATTATGAAGCTGGAATTTATTCTTTGAAAAATAGAAGAAAACAAGATAAAATTATGAAGGATGCATTGCTGCTGCTTTAACAATACTCAGAGATGTAAGTTTATTACACACATGTACTAGTATGTAAAAATCATTGTCCATGTGGAGTTAAGAGCCCCAGAACTTTGTGTTCCTGGTCAGACTCACTCTTCCTTTTTGTCTGGCCATCACAGCCTTATTACTACCTTGTATCTTGGCAATACAAGGGCAAATTCCATTCTGCTCTTCATTCCTGCCTACATCAGTCTAAAACTCTAATGTCATCCTACAGCCCTAGACTCTCATATTCTGTACATTGCCTGTTATCACCCCATATCCTGGCTCATTCCAACTCCTGAAACCTTTCCACTGTGGCTTTCAAAACCCATTATCTAAACTATTTGTATCATCAAGTTCTTCTCTGACTGCTCTCTACATCTTCTTGCTCTAATGAGAATCTGAGTCCTTCCTGAGGACACTATTTCCTTTTCATCCCTCTCAAGATGTGATTATTGGACAGACATACCCCCTTATCTGGAATTAAGATATATGTCATTTGGGTCCCCAGTGCTGTTATAGATCTGTCACTTTTCCTCTTCCTCAAACCCCCTAGTTTTGAATCACATAATTTCATGTCTCCAGGTAGTACTAGCAACTACCTTCCTTGCTGTGGTCACTTTTAGATTCTTGGATTACTCACCTTCATTCCTTAGAGATTTTGGGTTCAGGCTTGTTGTCATTTTCTTCAATAGTAGTTTTGTGATAATTCAAGTGTTTTCAATAACCGTGTAGATGATCCTTTCAATACCACGAATTACCAGTTCTTTAACTCGCTTCCCTTTGATTATCTTTTGCTAACTCCACTTCAGCTATTCATTTATGATTGATAAAACTTTATTTCCTTTACAATCTCAATTTCAAATATCTTATATCAGACACCATTTCCTATTTCTCCACTTCAATCCTTCAAGAATTCTAATTCCCACATTTTTTTAACGGAGGCAGTATTTGCTATCTATTGTTGTTATGTTTCACTTTTCCTTCCCCATAACAGGTTTATTATTAAACTAGCTTAGACCCTATGGCTCCTCATCATCATCACACTCATCCCTTTTAACATTTACCATACTTACCTGGAAAATTCCAACACTAATAAAAATCTCTACTTATACACGCCTGCATTCAAGAAGCTGAGTGTTGCAGATGAAAGATTCACAAACATGCTTACAGGTTTCATTTTAAATTTATGATGCTAACCGGAAATGGTCCCTTAGTGCAGCCACACAATCCTGTTTTATTTTCCTGCTCCATTCACCCTTCCATTACCGTAGATAACTACTTCATGCTTTCTCTTCCCTTCTCAAACCTCCAAATTTTCCTATAATTTCCTCCTTCTAGACTTAGAAATTTTCCTTGTATTTCACTGAAGAAGACGACTTCTTTTGGCTCCCACTGTCATATCTATGTATCTTTCTGCATCTGTTCCTGAAAGTCTTGCCTGCTCACTTTTTACTGGGAATGGACCCTGTACCCCTCAGGCAGCCCCTTTATTGAGGCTCTGTTTCCTTTTCTTTCTCAATTATTCAAGACTCTAGATCCAGGAATAAATCTGTTTCTCATGTGATTAATCTTTTCCTTAAACTAGAAAATAGGGATTCTTGTTTCTAAACAAGCTGCAATTTCTACTATACATACATATGTTTTATATATATAGATATATATACACACACACACACCATACCATATATACATACATATGTGTATGTATAGATATATATGTTATATATAAGTATATATGTATACTTTTGTATATATATTTAAATATACAAATACATTTTATACAAATATATATTTGTATATTTAAATATATTTATATATTTTACATACACACACACACACACACACACACACACACACACATACACACACATATATTCCAGTCTATACAGATGCCAAAATAATATTTGTAAAATGCAGGTTAGTTCATTTAATCTCCATACTCAAAATCTTCTCTTGGTTTCATATAGCATTCATTAAATAAACTCTAGTTGTTACATGGCCTACCAGGACTGGCATGACCTGGACTTATGCTGCCCCCCTGACCTATCCTTGATCCACACTTCCCCTGGATGATCCATTCCAGCCACATGGACATTCCTGATGATTTTCAATTAGGTAAATAGGTTTATACCTCAGGTCCCTTGCACCTGCTGTTCCCTCAGCTTGAAATGCTTTTCCCCCAGGTAGTCTTAGGGCTTTATCTCTCACTTTTTTCAGGTCTTTGCACAGGTATCTTCACATCGGTGCAGGATTTTCTAAATACTGTATTCAAATTACAATCCCTTTGCCACACCACTCTGTATCTCCTTTCTGTGCTTTTATTTTTCTTACTGCACCTCATCAAGTCACTATCTGGCAAACCTCGTATTTTATTTTCTGTTGATTGTTGGTCTCCCTTCTATTAGAATTTATAATTCATAAGTCAGGTATATTTTGTCCTCTTTTTTTCTTTAACTGTTTTATTCACATCACCTAAAACAATGCTTGATATATAGTACATGTTTAGTATTTGTTAAATAAATATTTAACATATAAATTTTATGTAAATAAATACACAAAAGATGACAGTACCAATCAGTACCAATCAGTTTAAAATTCCCATCTGAGTGTACCAGTGATAGTACAGATTATGGCAGATGAGGCTAGAAGAAATACACTGAGAGAAGGGAAACTGCCTCTCTCTTGCTAATGTTACCTAGAAAGCTAATGAGTATCTAGACACTAAACACAGCTGACTGGAGAGTTTTAATAGCACAGAAACCATTAATAGGAAAAAAATTTTCCTCCTTTTAACAAACTAGCTTTGAACCATCGGTAGTGTTTCCCAAAGTGTATTTTATTTAAAAATTCTTGCAGGAGCTTTTACCAAGCATTTTTATGAGCAAGGACTTCTACTGTTACATAAACTTGAGATACAGGAGGAAAATATTCTATGTTCTGATGAGGATTATGTTTTACTATCAACTAATAGAACCAAGGAAGTATAATAGATGCAAAGCTTTAGATGACATAAACTATTTCTCAAATACATGTGAATATTTGCATGTTTTAATATTTATAACATAATAACAACAGTAATTTTACTATTTTAAATTATGTAATTTTACTGCTACTACATAATAAACTCTATACAAACATTTCAACTTTCTAATAGTATAATGCCAGTCTTTGGGGCTGCTACCACTATTTTGTGATTTTGTTTAAATCCTTTTTTTCCATCCCTCACACGGAGCAATGGACCAGATGTTAAAAAAAATTTGAATTCTAATCCTGGGCCCTAAATGTACTCAAGCCTATGTCCTTCAGCGAGTTCTTAAATATCTCTAAACTTCAGGTTCTTTAACTTTTGATCAACTCAACTGACATATGTTGAACACCTGCTCTAAAAAAAATGACAATTTTAATCCCTGCTCCACATTTCTTCATTTTTACAGCAAACATTCTAAGTGTGAAGGCATCACCACCTCTCTTCTTCAAAGCTGATATGTAAATACGTATAGCCATTTGATAATCTTTGTACTAAGATATATATAAAATAGTCCATTAAAAAGACATGACTTAGATAAAGGTAGTATTCCATAGGGAGGTATGGCAGATATCTAAATATTTACATCTTCTTCTTACTAGGTTTTTCTCTACCAGTCCCTCCCTGCAGCAAGATTTTATTTCTCATTGTTGTCGTGCTTGCCTATATGACTGGCTTTGTAATGAGAAATATCAGTAGAAGTGGTATGTTTCTGTGTCAGCAGAAGCCCATAAGCTATAAAATATGGTTCCATCATGTCTCTTCTCACTTTTTCCTGAGACTGCCTTGAACCAGATAAAGGGTACTTCTTCAGTGTTGGTCTCAGACACTGAATCTGTTCCATCACTCATGCACAGTTGATCTGTAACAGACACAAACATGAGTACAAAATAAAGTTTTGTAGCAAGCCTCTATAATCTGAGGTTATTTGGTACCACAGGAATGCATAGCCTAAGCTAACTATATAAAAAAACCTCAGAGATAGACTGACATTTTAGATGAGATTTGATATAAGTTGTTTACTATGTAGGCCTGGGATTAGTGAAATAAAAGCTGGAATTCCAGGCAGAGAGCTTAAATGTGCAAAGTCCTGGAGGCCAGAAAGAGTGGTGATTTTGATGACTTACACATGTTTTGGTATCTCTAAATCTGACTTTATATACATAGAAAAGGTAAGCTTTGAGAGGTATGTCTAAATTTGACTTTACATACATAGAAAAAGGTAAGCTTTGAGAGGTAGGCCAGGTACATATGATGGTTAACTTTATATATTATGTTAAGATCTTCAGACTTTACCAAATGAATTTCAAGTATTTCAGGCACTGAAAATGGCAGCACTCATTTTGTTATTTAAAAGAGAACATTCTAGCTCCAAGGTAGATGATGGATAGGGACAGGGTGACAGACCATTTGGGATACACTTGTAATAATTCAACAGAGAAACTGGGAAAACTTGAATCACGGAGGTGACAGTGGTGATAAAAATGAAAGGATAAATTCCAGTGGCACTTCCTCATTAATAAGACTTAATGAGCAATTGGAATGAAGAGGAACAAGTAGAAATAGCAATGGAGGAGCAGAAGGGTGAGGTGCCATATGTTGAAGAGCTCTAAATGTGTGTATCTCCCTTTACAAATGTGAGGAGACATCATTTCTACCACACTGTTAATGAGGAAGCATTGGAGTAGGGCAGAACAAAACAAAATGTGAACTTTGTTTTAGGTGAAGTTGTTTGATGGCAGAAGGAGAGATATGGTAGCTGAATGGCAGTTTGCAAGTGTGTCATATTCAGAGTTCTCAAATTCCTTGTTCGTATTGTCAGTAAGCAGTTGATAAACCACTTTTCACTTTAAACTGTGCCTAAAAACTCGACCCAGGATGACGACCACTCTTACTAGTTGTTTGATTCCATCTAACTTCATTATTCAGTGAAAAAGTTTCCGTTCATGACTGGAATCATAATATCTTAGTCCATTCAAGTAGCTGTATCAATGCACCACAGATTGGGTAGCTTGTTAATAACAAATTTACTTCTTGCAATTCTGGAGTCTGAGAAGTCCAAGATCAAGATAGATTCTATGTCTGGTGAAGGTCTACTTTCTAGTTCACAGATAATGCGCTCTTGCTGCTTCCTCACGTAGTGAAAGAACAGCCAACTTCTCTCAGGCCTCCTTTTTTTAAAACAAAACAAAAACAAAAACAAAAACAAAAAAACAACTTTTATTTTAGGTTCAGGGGCCCATGTGAAGGTTTATTACATAGGTAAACTCATGGCACAGGGGTTGTTGCACAGGTTATTTCATAATACCAATATTAAGTCCAGTAACCAATAGTTATCTTTTCTGCTCCTCTCCCTCCTTGCAACCTCCACCTTCAAGTAGACCCCAGAGTCTCTTGTTTCCTTCTCTGTGTTCATGAGTTATCATCATTTAGCTCCCACTTATATGTGAGAACATGTGGTATTTGGTTTTCTGTTCCTGCTGTAGTTTGCTAAGGATAATAGTCTCCAGCTCCATCCATGTTCCTCCAAAAGACATGATCTTGTTCTTTTTTATAGCTGCATAGTTTCCATAGTGTAGATGTACCCCATTTTCTTTATCTGATCTGTCATTGATGGGCATTTAGGTTGATTGCATGTCTTTGCTATTGTGAATAGTGCTGCAATGAACATTCATTTACATGTGTCTTTATGGTAGAATGATTCATATTCCACTGGGAATATGAATGGGATTGCTGGGTGGAATGGTAGTTCTGCTTTTAGCTCTTTGAGGGATCGGTATACTACTTTCCACAATGGCTGAATTAATTTACACTCCCACCAACAGTGTAGAAGTGTTCCTTTTTCTCTGCAATCTAACCAGCGTCTGTTATTTTTTGACTTTTTAATAATAGTAAGGCCTCCTTTATAAAAGCAGTAATCACATCTACCAGGGCACCACCCTCATGATCTAATCACCTCCCAAAGGCCTTGATTCCTAATATTACCACATTTGTGATTATGTTTTAACCTGTGAATGTTGGGGGAACACACACATTCAGATCATAGCAATCCAAGACAAGTGGCACTGCTATTATGACAACCACCAATAGTGAGACTGTAGTCTACACTGGGTATCTGGGTTGTTTTAGACATGTAGAAAAATGTGGCACATTTGCATTCCATGCATTCATATATTACTCCACTTTCCATTGAAAAATATTGGTGGAAGAAAACGAATCAGAAGACAACTTAAAGAAATTGATGCTATAAACTCCTGCTTTCAATGTTTGCTATTAAAGTTGTTGGATTAAGACTTCTAGAGTATCCAAAGTTGTTTTAGTCTTTATTTTAAAACTTTGTGAGGGTCACTCACTTCTCTGAACTTCATTCTTTAGTAGTCTCAATTGTGAGTAACAGAAGGATGTGTTTGTTTAGGGAAAGGTCTTCATTTTGGCACTGCAGACTTAATAGATGCTCCATGAAACTTTGTTAAATGAATAAATGATAGTCATAATATAAAGTGTTTTAGGTATGTAATGTTTGTGCTGAAATTTGTTGTATTGAATATAAGAGGATGAGACAATTTGGAAGAATTTGGTCTATATAAGATATAAGGAATGAAAATGTCTGAGGAAAGATGAAACATTGCACCTTTTTGTCATAAATGAAGTAACCTGAGGAGAAATTGTCAGGAATGGAGAAGAAATCAGAACTGCTGGTTGTGCTTTCATTTTACTTTTAAACTGGAGATATTGGTATAAATTTAATTAGCAAACTGAAGGAGAAAAATACTCTACCTCATTGACAAATAGGAAATGAGATATGGATTTACTTTCAACCTTATGCATGAAAGGAAAGCTATCCAAATAGTGAGGTGAGTGTAATATGGGGTCTTTCATATTCATTAGTTAGAGCCAAGAATGGATAAGAGGTCTCAGAAGCTATTTGATTTGACATTTAACTTTGAAAAGGGAATTTACCAACAGATAATTTGCAGGAGAGATGAAGAGAGAAGGTTAGGACTACTTGATGAATTTCAGAGGAATAGGGGAAAAGCGTAAAATATGTTGTTTTAAAGAAATTAATTAATGGTGCATTAAATGCAGGGAACATTGGAGGAAGGACTTGGGAGTGAATAATGCAGGTGACACTGGGTATACTTCTTCCCTCTGAGTATCTAGGAAAAAAATTCCCAAGTTGGCACTCACACACCCAAGTCAATTCAATTCAGTCATATCTTCTTTCCTCTTGTAATTCTTTTTTCCTTTTCAGGCTCCACACAGGTAGGAATGCTTTATTTTTCATTTCAGCCAGTGCTTCTGTCTTCAGCAGATACTTTATAACTGCCACTTTGGATGGAACTTGCTTTTGTTGTTTTGTTTTTCTTAAATTTTCTACTCTCTGACCTAGATTCGATGACTCCAGTTTCTGAAGTGGTTTTAATAGAACTCGTCTATCCCCATAATTTATTCTAATAAAATATACTTATATGAACTCAGGAATTAATTCAGAAAAGGACATTCTTCTACTCCAAATGCACTTGGCCTTGTTTGTGCCCTCATTCTTCAGCTAATTCCTAGGGGAATTTAGTCAGATTGGGTAACCTTTTCTGTGCAGGTTACCTCAGTGGACTCTACTGGTCTTTATACTTTTGTGTCCCTCTGAGTGTAGATCAGATTCTCTACTTAATTACCTGAATGTGGTTTCTGTGGCTTAAACTGTCTGATGTGCTGGTTTAAGCAGTGGAAAAAATCAATAGTCTAAATCAGTCACCCCATTTCTAATTTTGTTTGTGTTACGTTATTCATCACACTCACAAATAATGCCTTTTTTTTTTTCCTCCTGCCAAAGTAAAAATCAGGTCAAGTTAAGCAAAATAAACAGATATGGAAAAAAAGTAAAAATGTATGTCTTTATTCTTTTGATTTTGTATTTGGAGTTTACAATACAGAGACAGTATAAGAACACATGAAAATTTATTTCTGTGGAAGTATATGACTTCTGCATATGCACATTGATGATCTACTCTGTATGCAATTAAAATAAGCAAAACCAAACTAAAGCTACTCTCAGAGCCAACTTTAAAAGAGAGATGTGTAAGGATAATAACACCAATCTCCAAGAATTGTTTCTGGTGTTATATGAAGGAGTCTAGAACAAAATGATTGTTCAACAAATGACAGTAAAACAAACCCAAACGTGAAGCTTGAGAAAGTACACAAAATGAAGATGTCCTTGGTGATGGGGGTAGATTCTGTAGATAGGAGTCCTGCTAATTCAA